>NC_000014.9:35975349-36278379 GCF_000001405.40 Homo sapiens | reverse complement strand
CTTTAAAGAGAAAAAAATTAAAAGTGCTTTCCCTAAGCCTTATTTCCAAAGTGGAAAAGACCACCAAAAAAAAAGAAATTTCCAAATTGATTATGTTTGTAAAAAATTCTATTGTTGATTTTTATTTTGCTACTTTCATCAATTTTCTGATAAGTTCCTTAACTTACAGAGACTCCAGTACAGTGTAAGCTCTGAATGTTTAGTCAAAGTATGAGTTTTTAAAAATTCCTTTCTTGGTAGATATAAATGAAGCCTTTTTTTCTGATAAATAAGCACACTTGACTTTATATTATCTAAAGAAAAGCTTACCTCTTCCATATCCACAGGCAAATATGATTCCTTGTTTTCAAGACCATTTTTTCCCTTGTTTTTCAGCACCTAATACAGAGAAATATAACATCAAAATATAAACATGAGGAAAAATACAGCACACATTCTGAAATATGGAGGGTATTATAAATAACTCTCATTCACACATTTGGAATTTTCATGGTGAAAAATTATGAATACACTCAAATGTCATTGCCATGTGCCTAGAAGCTCAAGACACTGAAATTACCGGGCAACTTTAAATTTTAGTTCATCTCTCATATCTTTAACTCCCTAAAGATCTGTTTTCTTTACATAAATGCCACTCACTGGAATATGCACCACTCCTCCACAAGAAAAGCCATATGAAAAAATGGCAAAGAATATCATGTCACATTTAAATCGTGTCCTATTCTTGTGTTTGAGACCCTAAGAAGTCAGTGACTTAGCAAGTCAATGTATTAGAAAGCTGTTGGTGATGCTGTTCTATGCTTAGACTAAAATATACTCCATTCTCCTAAAGAAAATAGCTTCTTGCAAACACCCTCAAAACAAAGCCAAATTATATGCTATATAATAAATTAATATGAATTTCCTGTTTGCTAAAAAGGCTGAGTTTATGAATTTAGTTAGATAGAATCATGGATATAAACTTGAGTTTATGTAGAAAAGTAGGTTAGGCTTGGGAAAAGAAAGAAATAAATCTTTATGAGAATCACAATATACTGGGGACTGTGAGGGTTAATAAGAGGCAAGGAGGAGGTGAAGGAAAAGGAGAGATGGAGGAAATAAGAGAAACTGAGCAGATGAAATAAAGGATTCAATGGAAGGTATTGTTGGTCACAGCTAGGTGTCAGAAACAAAACTAGAAAATGGGAACTGCTTCAACATTGGGAGGAAAGTGAAAAAAAATGAATGTGTACCACATAGTAAAAAGAAAAAGAAAATAAGAAATAATAAAAAGGCTTTCAGGCTTTCCACAGAGCATATCTGTGAAAAAAATAAAGCAAGCCTGAAAGAAAAGAAACAGTGAAATTGAAATTTTCTCCAAAGGTATCTCATCCAGAAGGTTTCATTGTGCCTTCCCTTTCACATCAAAAATTTAATTTTGCATTCCCTTTGTCTGTCTTGAGGCACACTTCTAGTTTATTCCATGAATTTCTTTTTCTTTAAAATTCTCCTTATTGGCTAAAAGAAAGGAATAAAATTCAGATCTTTGCTTGTCTCTTTTGTCCCAAGTTTAGGAAAGATGGGAATGTCTTATTCATTGACACTTGGGTATTTGCTCATTTTCTCTGCTGTACCAGTAAGAGCCACCATTTTCATTGTCTTTAAGACAGTCTCCTTGTGACACTAATAGACTAGCAGACTTTTTACTCTCAATTTACCATTAATCATTAAAGCTCCTTCTTTAATGATTATGGAATAGAACCTTTAATGTTCATGGAAAAGGATATAAGAAGTCATAAGTTGGATTGCTCTTATTAACCCCGGGGTTGTGTTTCTAGACCAAGGACACATATTATTTCTGGCCCAAAAGTCTGTTCAGGTTGCCGGGAAAGTTGGACCTCCATCAGGAGGGGTGATTTATTTGGGGATATGGAGGCGACCCTATAGCTTTACCTGAATAAACCCAAATTTGAGATTTGACTATGGAAGGAGTCCTTCCCTGACTCTTTTGCTGGTTTTGAGCTTACCAAATTGAGCTCACCAAATTTTGGTTTGTATTTGCATCTTATGGTTCATTCTGACCCAAGCTAACCTGCATCCTCAAAGGATGTGTGGCCAATAACTTCCCTAAGGTACAGCATACAGGAAAAGGACTAGGACGTGGGCAGCTACATGGGCTCACCAACTGACTCTCCAACCCTGGTCATATCGCCTGGCCAAGGAACTTGAGTTTATCTCTCTATAAATTCTAGGGCTTTGGTTATTTCTCACTTCACAGGATCACAAGCATATAGACTCATTGTCTTCCGCTGACCAGCAATAGTACAATAGTATGGGGCATTTTTTGGGGCCCCATAGAATGAAGACACTACCATTCAGCTGATGATGCTGCCCCACATATTGTGCATCCTAGGCATGCCCATCCCCCACCAGTAACCTCAGGCAGCAGTCCTTATACTGAGCTTCTCTCTGGTGCCCATGGCAACCCCAGCTTTTAATGCTGAAATGTTACCACAGGGTTGCTTTTTGGTTTGGAGTTTTTTTTTTTTTTTTTTTTTTCTGGAATCTTTTTGAAATGAACTGTTGATGTTGCAGTTTTTGCACATCCTTCAACTTGTGCAGAATTCCGTCGGAACTTATGAGCCTGAATCCAATCAGGTTCACTAAGACGCACTATCTAAAAGCTGACTTATGCAAAAAATAAAAATAAAAATAAAATAAAATAAAAGCCAAAATGCATTCTTACTGATTAAACTTGCCTTTTAACGAAAGCGCTTGGTATTTCAGAATTAATTTTCCTCCTTTCATATTCTTTCTTAATTACAATAGAGAACTATTTTTGGGAACAAACTTTTGCAAATCTTTACTTCAAATTTATGTGAATATACACTGTGTGTGCACATGCAAATACCTAAATGAATATAAAAGTACATAGATATTCTGTATCAAAGTTCTGTATACCTTTCTTTTCAATTTACTAATTCTCTAGGCTAGCATATAAAATGGATGGACATTAGTTAAGGACAGAATCTTAAAAACCTACTGTGTACCAATATATTTTTTAAATTACTTATTACTCCTTTGTACATTCTTTAAAATCAATTTTTGATTTTTAAAAGAAGACACAAACATCAGTTTCTGAGAAGAAATTTGCTAGGGTCCTGGCTGCATTTAATAATATTTCCTGGTTTAACATCTTTCCTCCCAGAGTGCACACTTACACTGATTTAAGGTCCTCACACTTTCACTGAAATTGTTTATCCATTTTTGCTTTTCTGATACAATTATTATTGTTTTAGCTTTTTAAAATCTCTTTTAAAATTGTATTCATTTAATGTGTCTGTCTTTAAGATATTAAAAATCCTTCATTTGTATGTCACCTGTTAAGGGAACGTATTCTATGAACTGCAATAGAATGCCAAGTTAATTAGAAGAGCCAGAACTCTATTCTGGAAGCACCCACCTCTGAAATGCAGCCGCTTCTTGGATAAAAAGCAACAGCTGTGTGAAAGCATAGTGCTGCTAACACTGCACACCTGCTTAAGGCAGGAAGTAAATGGAAAGGTTTTCTCTACCTGAATTTGCAAGGGGCAATTTTTAAAGCTGGAATGGGATAACCCCACATGGGAATTTGATCCAACCACTCAGGAGTAAATCTTGCCTTATAACACATGATGGATAAGGACATCCTTATCAGAGAGAGGCATGTCCTTGGGGTGAAGAGAAAGGCTGCCGCCTATGGCATTATTGAGGGTAGCAGCCACAGGGTGATTTCATTCTCTTCTTGTGTCCACCCAAGATTCAAGTTGAACCTACCAGGAATTTAGGCAAGACTTGGTGGCCTGCAGCAGTTGTAGGGAGGCAGTTACATACAGTCACTCGCTACATATGAAGAGGAGCTTTCTGGCTGCTTTTCGGAAGGACTAGCCCAGGCAGGAGGAAGTTTAACCTGACTGGTTTGCTAAGCAAGACCAGGTAGTTACTAAAAGAGATGGTCTTGGCCAGGTGCAGTGGCTCATGCCTGTAAACCCAGCACTTTGGGAGGCTGAGGTGGGAGGATCTCTTGGGGCCAGGAGGTCGAGACCAGCCTGGCCAACATGGTGAAACCCTGTCTCTACTAAAAATACAAAAATTAGCTGGGCCTGGTGGCTCATGCCTGTAATCCCAGCTACTCGGGAGGCTGAGGCAGGAGAATCACTTGAACCCAGGAGAAGGTTGCAGTGAGCCGAGATCACACCATTGTACTCCAGCCTGGGCAATAGAGTGAGACTCCATCTAAAATTAAAAAAAAAAATGGTATTTTCCTGTGAAGGGTTCCATTAATTATCCATGTGGGCTGGAATTGTTTCTCTTGAACAGTTACTGATACAGATATTCAAACAGTTAATGAGACTCCATCTGTATAGGAGTTTCCAAGTGGGAGTGCAGGCCGAATTGATTAGTTTTAGATGTGAGGCTTTTTTTTAAGCAAGAAGAAAACCCAGAGTCCAAACAAACAGCATTTGTAAAGTTCGGAAAAGACGTTGCTACCAGAAATGGGGAGAGAAAAAAAGAATACTTTTGAGCAAACCCTACTTTCTTTAAAATGAAAAACAATGGTAAAGTTTCCATATGTAATTAAAATCTCATTCTGAAGTTACCACGCCACTGGCTCCGAAAGAACTCAATTAACAGGAAACGGCAAAGAATATGGTATTTTCTTTGAGACGCTTTAAGAAATGCTCCTAAGTAGACAATGGGTTGGATAGTAGCTGTTACCTACAAAAGGATAAGCAATTATGGTTCATTCCAGGGAGAAAAGGGGAGAGGATAAGGCTAAGAAAAGTAGGTTTATAATGTGGAAATTAGATTTTCAAGTGTGCATATTTATCATCAGATCTATATTGAAATCCAGGCTGTACAAAGTCTAACTTTACTTAAGAAAATTACCTTATTAAAAAAAAAAAAACTGCACCCTCATTTAAAATATTTCATCTGAGAAAGGAAAGGTGATCACTCCACGCTCACCTCAGGTCTCCTTTCCCAGATAGACTTCCTTTTCTTACAGTTGAAAACTAAATACACAGTCCTGGGGACCAGCTCAGTTTCCAGAAGTTGGTTCTCCCGATGTCCCTGACACTAGCAGGTTTAATTCAAAGTATAGAAGGCGACCTCCGTAGGTGTGTGGTCATTGTGGAAAGAACGGAAGAGACCATTTAGGTCACTCTGCATGTTAGCGAAGTTGAAAACCAAGCCAGTAAGCAGTGAGTGATTTGATGAAGCAGTGCTTCAGGTGTCTGCCTCTTTGAGTTCGCTGAAAAGTTGGATCTTACATATTTAGCACCTGAAACAACCGAAGGCTTACGGAGGACACTGACAGACTGGGGCGAGGAGGGTCTCTGCCTCCCCTGAAGACCTGGACCACCCTCCACACCTGGGCAAGTGCTGCAGCGGTGCCTGCTATTAGAGTTAAGCAGCAAGGGCAGCGACACCTGGGATGTAAAAAAAAAATAATTATAAATAAATAAACACTAGCAAACTACCTGTTAGTTTCTACCTGTGAGGACCTAAGAAGACTAAACAAACAGCTCCTTAATTTCTGGACTTTCCCTTGGATCACAGAAGGAGACCCTGGGAATTTTCTGATTCCTTCTTTCCTTTTTTTCTTTTCTTTTTTTTTTCGGTCTTAATGGAGATCTTGAACTGCAGAGCCGCCGTGTCAGAACTCAGATGGTTAACATTCACTTCTTGCTGTTTTATTGCATATTACTGTGCGCGCCTGAGCAGCGGGAGCAGATTCGGGCAATTACAATCAAGTCAGGGCACACGCCGCGGCGGAGCAACACGAGCATGATGAGGATACTGATGAGGCACTTATCGAAAACCCCACATCATCCACACTCATCAGCCACAACATGTCACCCCAAATGAGGCATCAGCTGCCTTCAAAAGGCTCATTGCACAGTGTTTACCGCTTCCCTCGGACCCACTTTTGATTTTACGGTCAGAACTGGGTTCAAACAGCAGCTGTCTGGCAAGGGCAGGTCTGCGGCTCCTCGCAGCTTCCGCGGGAGTCGGGAGTCCTGGGGCTTTGTCTGGGGAGCTTTGGGGAGCAGGGGCTGGCAGGGCGAGGGGACGCGGAAGGCAGAGAAGTGTCCAGTTCCGTTTCTCTCAAAGAGGAATCCCTTTCCCAGAAGGGGCCCTTGATTAATTTCAAGCAGTAGCACACAGTGGTGGCATAACGGGGGGAGTAGGAGGGAAGCCAAATAAGGAGGCTTTCACAGGTCTCCTTAAAATGGTAGCAGGGTGGGTGGGACCTCTCACGCAGACAGAAGTCCTAGAAAGATCAGTCTCTTTGGAAAAGACAGATCCAACCAGTGGAGCCGTTCAAGTGGTCACAATTTTTAATTCTTTCCATCAACAACTCCTTCTTGGGTGGTTGGGGGAGGCATTCGTTAGCAATCTATAGGAGGACTTCCCCCCATCTAGTTTTTCTGCTGTAGAAGGAAGATATATTCCTAGTAATACTCCTTAAAACTATTCTTTGTTTTTACTCCTTGAAACTCTTCCTTGTTGCTTTGGGTTAATGCAACTTGCAGCTAAACACTTGTTGGGGGAATCTAATTGTTTACACTTAAAGAATGTGAAAACCATTGCCATCTATGTTTCAGTCTGTGTCTTTCCTGGTAGGGGGAGTGTGTTAGGCTGATACCAACTTTGCACATATTTGTAATGACTGGATTAATCAATGCCATTTATTTTAAAGCTAAATGTTCATAATTTTGTAAAATTCACCCTACAGTAAAACATTTTCCAGTTAGATCTAGACCAATTGATCCAATACCAATAAAAGCCACATAGGCTTTCAATTTTTCACTCATTTGAGACCTTTTCAGCCCCCTCCCCTCAAGCCCCAGTGAATGCTATCTTAGCCATCCAAAGTAAGAATGAAGAGCAGCATGTGGCAGGGAAGAAAGGGGAACCTCCTGCCCCCAGTCATATGATCTGTCCTAGAGACAAGGCCACATGCAGAGCATTGTTCAGCAAGGGGGCAAGGGAAAGTTAGGCAGGTTCAGAGAGACGATGTGGACATAGGGTAGACCAACAGGCAGAGCCACACACCCTAACCAAGGTCCAGAATCCTGGGACTTAGAAACAACCTCAGTGTACCTGTAATAAATCTGGAGTATACCTTTGGGTATAGAGAGTGTCATGAACTCCAGTCTTTTTCAGTTTCACCATATCCATTGCTACTTTCTTTTCGCTGTTTTTTTCTACATAATTCTACAGCAGTTGGCATTTGGCTTTTAATAGGATTTTAACATCTTTACAAAAAATGGGGAACCACAGAAAATAAGTAGATCTCTAGGTTTGAAGAGTTTTAGTAGTTTTGAGAAACTAATTTACTTTTTCTGGTAAGTCATTTTATCCACTTTTAGATGTTAACAAACTAGAGCTGCCAGGAATTTCAGGAAAGGTGTTCCTTTCTGTCTATTCCATCTCAGGGGTTCTGCTCACCTTCTTTCCTCCCAGATCCCTTCCTCTTCTAAACTTTTTAACTCTCCTTTCATGTCCCTGAGCTGATAATATTCTAGTTTGGCCCATTTTGCCCAAACTCTTCTCTAGCTTCTGGGTTTTTTTTTCCTAAGTTTAAGCCCACATGTTTGTACTACATGCTGGGATTCAAGGGAAAATCCCACGACATGGTCTAGGATGGTGACTATAAACCTCAGAGCATCACTTGACTTAATAGCTCCAAAAGAGTCAAGACAAAAGGAGGCAAGTTTGTGCCTACATTTCCTTTGTCATCCTGGATCCCTCAGGGCCTCCAGGCTTCATGCCCCAATAACCTGTGTTTATTGCATGATTTCAGGTGAATACTACAGGGAATAGGAAATGTGAATGCAGAAAAGAAAATGGGTGGGTACTACGGGATAGGAGAGAGTTTGGGAAGGTTAGATTAAAAAGTAACTCAAGGCTAAGATTCATATTGGTCCTTCTAAGTTTTGCCTATGACTCATTTTCACTAAGTGATATCTCATAATCTTTAACTTAGTATTTCCTTTAGAGCTCTCCTAGTAGGTGACCTCTATTGATGATATAGAAAGAAAATGAGTATTTAATTAGAGTTCAACAATTGATTACGGAGAGGATTCATTAAACCATCAGATGTATTTATATGGACTTAGCAACCTCTATCAACAATGCCTGCCAAGATCATTGGTTCTAGGGGTTGCAAATATTAGTCATAATTCCTTAGGAAATTTTAATATTGGTGGTGTGTGTGTTTAAAATTTTTACATATATTGGATACTCTTCAATATCTTGCTACTGATAGAATTCAATGCTGGGAGAAGCAGAGGGAAGATTGCAAATGAAAATGCAGCACGATAAATTCTAGACAGTTATCCAAACCAAATTAAAAGGAATTATTCATGTAGAAGATCAGAGGAATTCACTGGTCAGATGGCTATTGAGGCCCCTAGTTCTCAACCTCTGGTTTAGGAATCTGGAGAAAAACAATCTTGCAGGATCCTTCCTGGGAGCTTCAGAGAAGATCTAGGCCAGAAAGAGACAGTTTTCATGTGTGTATGTGCATGCAGCATGGAGTGTGTGTGTGTGTGTGTGTGTGTGTGTGTGTGTGTGTGTGTATCTCTTTGTGGGGTCATCATCTAACGCTCTTTGTGATGCACATTCTAAATTAGGCAAAAGGGATGCATCTTTCAAATGCAGATCATGTTTGCATTAGAAGAGCAATGAGAACACTTGTCAGTTTCAGAACATTTATGTGCTAGAAGTACTGTTAGCAGAAGAGCAGTTTAGATAAATTCAAGACTTTTTTTGCTGATCACAAACATTAAGCTTCACACCTGAAGCCCTCAACCCCCTGCTGTGCTCTAATCCTAGCACCATTCACCCTTAGAGACTCAGAGTGCTGTGCCTCAGCTCTCAAACCTTTGATTGCCCTTAGTTTGAATGCCACCACCTGCAAAAATGCCTTTTTATTCCCTTTGAGCCTCTTGAGAAGGAAGTAAAAATGATAATTCATGACAAACATTAATTAATTGTTTACAAGATGATCTTTTCTTTTTCCAACTTCTGTTCAGCAGACATGTTGAACTGCAAGATTCCACTCGCGACGCCAGAATTCGTCAAGAGGCCTGCATTGTTGTTTCGCACTGAGGCATAGGACCGGCTACAGGCCATTGTTTCTCCAGCTCAAGTGGGCCTGTCTGGTTCGTGTTGGAAGAATGAGGGTGACATGCGTGAGTTCCCGAGTATAAAAGAACTACTGGTTCTAGGAAGGAACAGGAGGTTAGCCACTAATGCAGAGTAAATAAACATTTTTCACCACCTCTTGCTCCATGTGATTTTTAAAGGTCAAGAGCTGCCATTACAGTATTTTAAAAGCTTCAAATTACATTTAAAGAATGTATCACTAAACTCACAGAAACCTTATCAGAATTTAGGAACCTACTGTGATTGTTTGGTCCTTGAGTTTATCATCCCACTGGAAGGTGGATTGTAAAAGGAAGGCAGATGCCCCGTTGTTTCTGATATCCTGCAATTTGCTCAAAGTGAATGCTGTTCAAGTTCTTCCAAATTTCCCTTCAAAATATGGAAAGTGTTAAAGACACTTCAATTTCAAAATCTTATACAATCTACATTGCAGGTCAAACATTTAGGGCAGGGAAGAATAAGCCTCTGGGGCCTTTCACGACAAACACGTTCAAAATGCAAAGAGATGTTCATGTTCCCTTGAAACTTCCAAATGTATGTGTGTGAAAGAAAAAGAAGTAAAAGGCAGAGGGAGATTTCTTTTTTAAATTAAAGAATAAAAAGCTTACTTCAAGGAAGTGTAGAGTAACAGCAGAAAGACTTCCTCAGCAACTGAGGTTTTCAGATTTCAAATTAGGAGCCCTTAGATCACGGCTGCTAGGCTAAAAATCAATTCTATATTTTCTGAGTTAATACTAAGGATTGCACTTAACAGACATGGAGACTAATAAGGTATGCAGAAGGAGTAAAAGCAGCGCACACACACAAATTCAGGCCTTAGTTTTGGCCATGATCCAGCACAATGATGTTTCAACCAGATTTGAAAAAAAAATCAATAACATCTGTGGTATAATGGTTAATTAAAGCAGCTCTTCAGCAGAGCTCAGGAGGAGAGGCTCAGCCTGAAATTCAGACAGCTGAAGCTTGATTATCAGGAAAGAATGCTTTTTTAGCTATGAGTGGATAGGCCAAAAGCTGCAATGTGCCGAAATGGGGAGAAAAATTGCTTTTATTTTAACTTTCTTTAAGTAATCAATACATGCTTTTCACCTGCATTAGGACACTGCTCAGCTCCAAAGGCCTGTTACTCCACTTCAGCATAAATTCTAGCTACTCTCTTTTAAAGCTTCGGTTTAAAAAGGAGTCCCCATCCCCTGTAAAGCAAAAGAAAAGAATATGCAGGTTTGGGTGCATGTTCTTGACACCAGTTAAAGCTCAGGCTATAGGATGGTCCCAAGGGTTTAATCCATAAGCTATGTGCAAAGCTGCCCCAATCTTGGAGTACACAGAGGTCATAGCCAGAGTACTAAGGCTTCACAATAGAACTAAAAATTCTCGAGGGAACTGTGAAGGGCAAGGCCAAATTTCCCACTGCTTTTCGTCTTCCTATTGTTTTGAGTACTGTGCTAGGGATGTTTTCTTTACCTTTTTGAGGGCAAAGCTCAATGAATCAACAATGATGCCTCTTGCAAGGTTAGTAGGTGACTTTTCCAAAGAAAAAAATAATTGTTAACACCTCGTCTATTTTCTTAACACTTTGCTTCGGTTTCTATTTTGGATATTGTTCCTGGACAGTGGAATCTGTGTGTTCACGTCATCATTGTCAAATTTCAAGATGCATTTGTAAAATGATATTGCCCCCTCTGGATTACACTAGTTCTCCTATAGCATATGGTTAGTTAATTGTTCATTCATTTTTTCATTCAGCAAGTTTTTCTTCAGTGCCAAGCATGTGCCTATCACTATGTTGGGTGGTTTCTGCCCTAGGAAGCTCATACATAGCCTGTTTGAGGGCTGCGTGCTTGTGAACAATTAATTGCAAACACAGTGGGAAAATAGCCCAAATACAAGTGTCTAAAATGGCTAAAAATGTTTAAGCACCCCCCCACCCCGAGTCAACTGCACTTGGGAAGAGACAGAGGGAAGGTTAGGGAGCCTCAACAGGGAATATTCTCGGAGCAAAATCATGGAAGATAAGGAAGTGTCTCCAGGAAGACAAGGAGAAAAAGGCAGAGAAGGCATTCAGAATTTACATATACTTATGTGAATTATAAGTATCAATTCAGAAGAATATATATGAAAGAAGTGATATATATATATCTTATAAAATCTTCTAAATTAATCTTTGGAAATTGATACATGATAGATATATGTATTTTCAAGGTACGAATGACATTTTGACACATTCATATGATATGTAAAGATCAAATCAGGGTAACTGGAATATCCATTACCTTAAACATTTATTTTTCTCCTAGGAACATTCAAATTATTCTCTATTAGACTGGTGCAAAAGTAGTCACACCATTTTGCCATTACATTAAAAGTAATGTAATGTGATTTTAATATCACATTATAACTAATGGCAAAGTGGTGTGATTACTTTTGCACCAACGTAATAGCTATTTTGAAATGTACACCAGATCACTGTAAACTAGAGTCACCCTACTGATCTATCAAACACTAAGTCTAACTGTATATTTGTACCCATTAATCAATGTCTCTTCATACCTTTTCTCTCTGCCCTTCCCAGCCTTTGATAACCACCAGTCTACTCTATCTTCATGAACTCCATCTATTTGCTTTCACACGAGTGAGAACGTGCTATCTTTGTCTTTCTGTGCTTAGCTTACTCACTTCACATAATGAACTCCAGTTCCATCCACATTGCTGCAAATATATTTTACATCATCTATCCTTATTTTAAGAACCATCAGGATCACGGATTCCAACACCTTCCTTTATAGCTATCACAATCAAGCAGTTCTGTCCTTCCTCTGACCACACTCTCACTGGAGGTTAAAATTCATTGGTATCTTCTCTTCTCTAAAACACAGCAACTTTGCGTTTTACTCAGGGATCCATTTTTTCATCCTATGACTTTTCTTTTAACCTATTTCTGGGTCCTTTCCAGATTCTCTTTCTTTCTCCATAATTTCAAAATGTGAAGTAGATTTAAAGGAGCCAAGAAGCTGGTCTGCCCATCAGTATGCTATGCCCTAAAGTATACTTTAGAAGAACTAATAATAATGCCCAACACTTTTCATCTTAAAAACGTTGGTCTTTGGGTAAAATCCTGCTCCCCCACCTACTATGTGATCATGGGCAAGTAATATGATCACTCTGGGCTTCAGTTTCCCATCTAAAAAATGGGCATAACAACAATAGCTACCTCATAAGGTTATAATGTGGATTCAGTGAGTTAATATTTATAAGTGTTTAGAACAGTGCCCGGCACAGAAGAATTGCTGTCAGTGATTGTTGAATAAATCATAGTTACCAGCACCTATTTTGCGCATGATTTCCTGAGTGAGGCTTTGTGTCCCCACCCAAATCTCATCTTGACTTGTAATCCCCATAATCCTCATAATTCCCACATGTCAAGGGAGAGACCAGGTGGAGGTAATTGAATTCTGGGGGACCATTTCCCCCAGGCTGTTCTCATGATGGTGAGTGAGTTCTCACGAGATCTGATGGTTTTATAAGGGGCTTTCCACCCCTTTTCTGGGCATTTCTCCTTCCTGCTGCCTTGTGAAAAAGGTGCCTTGCTTCCTCTTCACCTTCTGCCATGACTGTAAGTTTCCTGAGGCCTCCCTAGCTATGCTGAATTGTGAGTCAATTAAACCTCTTTCCTTTATAAATTACTCAACCCTTCCCCGCTTTGATATAGATCAATTCTCAACTATCATTTTGAGTTTGATTTTTGTCCTTTAATGTATTAGCAACTCATATGTAGAGCCAATTATTTACTCACAATTTTTTATTTTGTTTTCTGTCTTAAGATACTTTTAAAATCATGTTGCCAGATTTTATTCCTTAGCAAAAGAGTAATGTCGCCTTTACATTTCTGTGTGTAATTTCTATGATTTTATATCTTGAGGACTGATTTTTCATTCTTGTGTTTGTTTTCCTGATTTGGTCTTTATCTTCTTCCTGGTAACTGGTGTAATTTCAACTGTTGCAGCCATTTATTTAGCATCCTGTCTTTAATTCTTTTTAAAATAAGGAAGGTTTAAATAATTAAATTTAAAGTGCAAATAATTTGAGCAACTACCAATGTAGGCACCATACTGTCTGTTGGGAATACACAGATGTGATGTATATTGGTGAGGCTTTGTTTCAGCCACTATTGACAGAAACTTAACTGTGCGGCTTAAATACACTCAGGTTTATTCTTTTGTGTAAATTAAGACTGAAGTCAGCTCAGGGGATGATTCCAAAGAATTATCAAAAAACCCCAGAGTCCTTTCTCTCCTATTTTGGTTTTCACCCTCAAGGCTATCTCACAGTCCAAGACAGTTGAAACATCAGCTGCCACCTGTATCGCAGGCAGCAGGATGAAAGATTAAAGGAGTTTTTCTCAGAACTCTCAGCAATTCTGCTCATATCCTATTTGTCAGAACTCAGTCACATACCTAGCTGCAAGAAAGGCTGGGAGACATAGACTTTATTCTGGTGCCACTTATCTAACCAAAAGTCAGGCTTGTGGGGCTAAGCAGGAATGAGAGAATGAATTTCAGTGTCCAAATAGCAGTGTCTGCCACAAAATGGTTTATGGCAATGAGGAGCTCAGTGTTTGGTGGTAATGACAGACACTCAGATAATTACAGTCTAATGAAATAAGTGCTAATTAGTTTTACATAAAGTTATTGGTGTCTTTTTATTTCTATTCATTGATATGATTTACTCTCCTTAAAAGTTTTCTTCTTCCCACTTCCTGCTTCCATCCCCACTCCCACAGGCTGAACAGGCACAGTGAAATGTGGTTTTATCAGATTTCCCAAAGGACAGTCTCCATTGATTTGCAGGAACTTATGTAAGTGTGTGTCTCACCTACAAGTCACAAAGCCACTGAAGAGTAGGGAGTAGGCCTTGGTTATTTTTATAAAGAGATCATGCTTGGCTTGGGGGCTGCTCCATGGTCACTGATAAGATGATTTCCTGCACTTGAAAAAGTGTTTTTTTAAAAGACTATTTGGTTCCTCCAGGCTGCTTTTCCACTGAAGAAGAATGTCCACCTCCAATATTTGTACTGATGTAGAATGACTTTCCTGAAGTTCTGGTCTCATTCTGTTTACCAAATAGCATACAACTTTAGGCATATCCTTTAATCTCTCTGGCCTGCTTTCTCCCAAATATTCTTATCTTGTTATTTTAAGCATGGGAAAAAAATGAAAGTAACATTATGAAAATATTTCATGTTTCTCTAAAGGCCTTACAAATCATAATTGGTTAGAATTTTTTTCCATTTGGCAAGGAAAAAACTGTATACATATACACAATGTAGATTTTTTAATAGGAATAACACCCTAGTGAAGATCAAATGAATAGGTTAAAAATGCTTTGAAAATGATATTAAGATATTGGTGTAATGTTAATTTTTTGTCTGTTTATATAAACATAGAAGGCTATATTATGTTTGTTAAATTAATAAGTTTCTGACTTACAAAGAACATAAAGGAGGTAGTTTCTGTTCTTGCAGTTAGGGAGGAAATATATACATACGAAACTACTGGGAAAAATTTCATTGCCATATGTAACGATAAGCATGATAAAGGGGTTTATATTGTGCAGACAGGCAGTTCATAAATGTTGAAGCATTGGTTGAAAAATCTAGCAACACATATGAAGAATAATTTATTCAATAATAGTTATTGGTAGGAAATAATGGGAAAGCAATAAGGATTATAAAGCTAGAATGAATTAAATAATACAGCAAAGGTGATACTGACACAATGTAAAATCTTGCTGCTTGAATATTCAAAACCTGCTGGTCAGGTAAACTCTATCACTAAATTTAGTACACTTCTAAGTGAAACTCATTTAATTTTTATTTTCTGAATTAATTTCACTTGAGAGAATACTAAAATAGACTCATGGCCATTTAGCTAGCAACATCATCAGCTAAGTGATGCCTATTAGAGAATTTCAACCTTTTATCAGTGTTTTGTTTCAGAGGCTTAACCATTATACACTAAATACATCATTAGAAGAACGAATAGCAATGCCTAGCACTTTTCATCTCAAAAAGCCTTTTATGCACATTAACAAATTAATTCAAATAACTCTTAGCAAGGCAAACTGTATACAAAATAATTCCCATTTTACAGATAGGGAAATAAGGTTAAATTACTTAAGGGAATATTCACACAAGAGAAAGGCAGGGGTTGAGATGGTTATATCCACAGTGAAATCAAAGTTCTTGGATTCCCAAAATGTGTTCTGGATACTCTGTCTTTTACTTCTTAAATGCTTTTTTACTCTTAGACTAGATAATAGAATCAAACTCAATAGTAACAGGTCTGACCTGGAACAAGTACTAAGAACTTGCTGTGCTGTGCCTAGCTCATTGCTAGTTATCTTTGGGCATCACAAATATATCCTGACTTGTGGTCACCTGTCTTCTTTATCATTTATTAATAGTCTCTTGTTCTCAATTTCATCATATATAAAATTCACAGAATAGCTTCATACTTATTAACCATATATACTTACCTCACATTCTTATATGAAATAAAGGATGTGAATGTTTGAAAATCAAGGAACTCCGTTTCAAGTGTCTTCTGCATGGTACCCTCTGATGTATCCACTCCCAACTCCCCTAAAGACAGAGAAAGAAAACCTCACACCGACTAAAACTAACAACTCTGCCAGAATGGTGGAAGAATTTTTCCTAACTATAAGCCTAATGAAGCTGGAATGAGAAAAATAATAATCAGCCTATGATACGTCTCAACAGAATAGGCCCTGCTCACCTGTGGCCAATATTTCCGACTGGCTTATACAATAGTGATACCCAAGCCCCCTCTCCTTTGCCCCAGAAAGGCTTGCTTTCCAGACATGCCAGTATAGCCCCCTCCTCCTTCCTGTTGCCTTGATTGTGAAAGTGAGAGTGCAGCCGTTTTGAGACCATGTGGGGACACGCATGTGGATGAAAATCCAACACTCTAAGGACAGCAGAATAAAAAGATGGAAAGTGATAACAGTTGAATCTCTAGGCCAATCCCGAAATTGCGTACTTCCAGACGTGATAGGTAAATTAATATTTCTACAGACTATTCAACTGCTAAGACTTTCTGTTACTCATAGCTGAAAGCACTCCTAATGGAAATACCATGCAGAAGATAGTGGGAAGATACGGGGTTTCACCATGACTATCTCCTCTCTGGCTTGGGTTGAAGACCTAGCTGGCAGCTTTCTACTTCTGTGCAGATGCTGCATTTTAAAGTAAATCATTTTTATTTGTGATTATAAAAGCATCAGTGTACATTGTAGAAAATATGGAAAGTCAGAAATACAATGGAAAGATGAAATAACTCATAATCTCACCAGCCAGAGATAATAATGATTAATATTGTACTACATATTTTTTGTATGCATAAATATACATATATTCTTTTAAAATTTTAAAACAAACTTGAGATAATGCTGTGTTGGTTTGCAGAAATCTTTCTACTTTTCAATATTTTTCATATTTTCTATGCATTTAGATATCTACGACATTATCTTAATGGCTAAATGGTATTTTACTATGGAAACAGCATTTATTTAATCAGTATCCTATTAGTCATACAGACTATTTCTAAATTTTCACTGTCACCAACCCCAAACTAAACAATTCGCATATGTCCAAGATTATTTTCTTAAGGTGTGTTCTTAAAAGTAGAATTACTGTGGTCAAAAGAAGCATTTACACTTCAAAGGCTTACAACACCATTTCTAAATGGTATTTCAAAACCATGGTTATAATTTGTACTCCTGGTAACAGTGTAATAGGGATCTATTTCCCTGAAGTTGGTATACCTTCAGAGGAAACCAAAATATTGTCCCACATTAACTCCATATTTCCTTAACTGTTCACATCCTGAAATTGCCTTTCCAAGAAATCAATCAGAAACAAAGTGGGAAGGTGGGAGAAGATTAGCAGTGGTGCACAGGGACTTGGCAAGTGCACTCCCTGCTGATAAACAGTCAAGGCTAAGGCAGAGTGGGCTGAGGCAGGTACAGCAACAGCACTTGCTGCAGAGTGTAGATATTTGTGTGTTTCAGAGTTTTGGAGTGTCAGCAAATCAGGCTGCGGAGTGATAGAGGATCCCATCTAAGTGTATTACAGCCAAAATAGGGCCACTGCTTTGAATGAAAAATGATATCAGAAATACTCTCCCCACCTTCCATTTCTCCCCACATAAAAAGATAGCATTTTCTACAGATAATTAAAAAAATGGCCTCAGATTTCTGTTCTTCAAAGTACATATCAAAATTATATATAGAAAATGAGAGGGGACAAGGTTAGTGTCTACATCGGTTGTACTTGGTGCAGAACCAAGTTGTCCTTCATATGTGAAGCTATTAGAATCTTAGGTCTAAAGTATATTGTGCTGCTCCAGTAGGGATGCATCCAATATATATGAACATGCGATACATATTATAATAGATGCCTAGAATCATCTTTATCTAATATAAAGTCCATCAATGATCTCTATTACCAAAGATGTTTTTAAACAACAATAAAGTCTATTAAGGAAGCCAGCCATGTACGGAACTTAAGCTAAAGCAGGAGACATTAATGCAGTTCACAGATCTGGAAACTCTGTGTAACTCAGAACTTCATGGGAGGGGTTTATGCTAAGCTGCCAGGCACAGGAACCATGTCTCTGAGCTGCAGGGGGTCCCTCTCCACCAGAAGTCTGTATTTTACAGCTCCAACCAGGGCAGGCTTATCCAGTTAAGCATAGTAGGCACAGTGCCTATGGCATACAATACTCCTAGAAGCCCACAAAAATGTTAATTCTTATTTATACTTTAAGTTCTGGGATGCATGGGCAGAACGTGCAGGTCTGTGACACAGGTATACACGTGCCATGGTGGTTTGCTGCACCCATCGATCCATCATCTACATTAGGTATTTCTCCTAATGCTATCCCTCCCCCAGCCCCCCACCCACCCCCAACAGGCCCCGGTGTGTGATGTTCCCCTCCCTGTGTCCATGTTTTCTCATTGTTCAACTCTCACTTATGAGTGAGAACATGCAGTGTCTGGCTTTCTGTTCCTGTGTTTGCTGAGAATGATGGTTTCCAGCTTCATCCATGTCCCTACAAATACATGAACTCATCCTTTTTTATGGCTGCTAATTTTCTTAAATCAGAAAAAATATGAGCTCAGACTAGCTTATATTGATAGCAATGTAGTCATAACATTTTTAGCTTTTATGATTTTTTTTTTTTCCCTAGAGATAGAGTCTTACTCTCTCACCCAGGCTGAAGTGCAGTAGTGTGATCATAGCCCACTGTAACTTCAAACTCCTGGGCTCAAGAGATCCTTCTGCCTCAGCCTCCTGAGTAGTTGGGACTACAGGTGTTTGCCACCACTCCTAATTACTTAATTTATTTTATTTGTAGAGAAAGGGTCTCACTATGCTGCCCAGGCTAGTCTCAAAATCTTGGGCTCAAGCAATACTCTGGCCCCAGCCTCCCAGTGTGCTGGGATTACAGATGTAAGCCACCATGCCTAAACTATTTTTTTTTTTTAATGTAAGAAGGTATCCAAAAAGGTAAAAGCACCTGAGGCTCATGAAAATCATAGTACGGGCCTAGTGGAAGAAACAAGCCCTGACCAGCCAGACAAAAGCCACAGCCCCTCAAACTCAGCCTTGTTCCCAATCTCAGCAACCTTTCTTTTTCACTTAACTACAACCCCTGGATTGACAGCTACAGTTTCAGTCCTATTCTTATCTTAAAGACTAATCCCTCTTCCAACCCCAGGCTGGTCCCTGAGGAAAACCGCTCTGAGGAGGAACCTAAGGATACTAGAAACTCAGCGTTCAACAACCCAGTAAAGTACAGGTTGAGTATTCCTAATCCAAAAAGCCGATATCTGAAATGCTCTAAGATCTGAAACTTCTTGAGTACCAGCATGATGCTCAAAGGAAATGCCCATTGGTACATTTCAGAATTTGAATTTTCAGATTTTGGATATTCAACTAGTAAGTATAATACAAATAATCCAAAATTAAAAAAAAAATCTGAAATCTGAAACTCTTCTGGTCCCAAGCATTTCAGATAAGGGATATTCAACCTATACATCTCCAATTGAATGCCACATTCTTTCTGCTATATAACACTGGTACTGAGGGCTGGGATTCAGTCTTGCAACTCTTTAGAACTTCACATACTACACATTTGATAAATATTAGATGTCTATCTGGCTGGGTACATGGATGAATGGATGAACAGATGGGAATGCTAAGGATCAGAAGCCATCTTCAGATGCCTAAACCTTTAAAGACCTAAGACAAGGATCAATAAAATTTTTCTGAGCCACATAGTAAATATCTTAGGCTTTGCAGGCCATATGGTCTCTGTTGCAACTACTCAACTCTGCTATTGTAATGTGAAGAAACTATACACAATATATAAATGAGTATGACTGTGTTCCAGTGAAACTTTATGGATGCCGAAATTTGAATTTCATTTAAATTTCACATCATGGAATATTTTTTTTTCAGCCACTGAAAAATAAAAGAAACATTCTTAGCTCTCAGGATTGACCAAAAACAGGCAGTGAGCCAGAACTGGCCCTGTGGGCTATAGTTTGCTGACCTTTGACCTGACTTATAGGGTGGGACTGGGTGGGAAAGGATTGCTTCAAATGAAAAGGCCACAGTTGCTACTGAGGAAGCAGAGTCTTTGGCACTTCCTCCCCTATCACTCTTACAGGCTTCGGCACATCTGCCAACGTTCCTCACCACCTAGACCACTGAATCAAGCTTTAAACTTCCTACATCACCAAGGTTAAAACGTCTATCATTCTACACATTCCTGCCCTTTTCACAGAGATTTTAGCCTTTATCATTCCAAGAATCTTGATCTATCCAGGCCCAATAGATTTGATGTTCTGCCATCATTTTAAACTCAGCAGGTTTAATGTGAAACTCATTACCTTTCCTTTAATGTGGGCTCCCCATATTTTGTAAGCCACTCAAGTTCAAAACCTCAGGCATCTTTGAATTTACCTTCTTCACCCTCCAGATCTGGTTTTCCCTTCATGCTATATTTGACCACCTCCTCCCAGAACTGAGGCAGGGTCTGGTAAGAAAACAGTCCTGGGTTCTAGAACCAACCCTGCCACAAACTGGCCAGATCTCTGAAGTTTGAGTTCAGTCACTTTAAGGATGCTTTAAGAATTTAGAGAAGAGGCTGGGCATGTTGGCTCACACGTGTCATCCTAGCACTTTGAGAGGCTAAGGTGGGAGCATCACTTTAGCCCAGGAGTTTGAGATTAACCTGGGTAAAAAAGTGGGCCTCTTCTTCTCTTCAGAAAACTAAAAAATCAGCTGGATGTGGTGGTGTAGCTGGGCATGGTGGTGCATGCCTGTAGTCCCAGCTACTCCGGAGGCTGAGGTAGGAGGATCACTTGAGCCTGGGGGGTAGAGGATGCAGTAAGCTGTGATCACACCACTGCACTCCAGCCTGGGTGACAGGATGGTGAGATACTGCCTCAAAAATCAAAGACTTCAGAGAAGAGTTGTATCCTTGTGAACTGTGTTCAGGAAATATGACCTGCAGTTGCAGGGACCTTGAAGGAATAATAGAATCTAAATTGGTCACTGCCAAGTGGCATATATATTCAGGATGGTCAGCCTTCTAATTATCTAACTTACTGTTCTTTCTCTTCTTCAGTGCCTTTTGTCACTCCAATTAGATCTTAACATTGCATATGTGTTCTAAGCAGGGATCCACTTAAAAAATGTAGCCATGCCTTTTAGCACCAGTTATTCACTAAATACTAGAGTTTAAGAATTTCTCCTTTTCATTGAAAAGGAACATACAATTCTTTTGATTTGTAGCCTGTCTGAAATGAAGGAGACCAGGCTGGCAGCAAAAGGAGGTAATTTAGCAAGAATTCCTGTGCTCTGTACTTGAGTTATAAACAGGGTCTTCGTAAGAGCCTTGTACACTTTTAAACTTTAATAACTCAGGTTGTGAGTGTTAGAGAAACAATCTGTAAATGGCACTCAAAAGTAAATGTATTAAAGTTTAGGACAACTACATTACACAATTGCACACAATATGTACTCATTTTAGATCCTGTGACAAATGAAATATGGCCAGCAGAATTGAAGTTCATGACAGCTCTAAGAAGAAAATTGAATTTGCCTTTAAATTCCATTTACAGTTTACTATCATGTCTACCTCATATGCTTTTGAAGTTAAGTTTAAAAACGGCACAGGGACTTGATAAAGATCCTGTACTTGAACTCAGTGATAAGTATAGTTAGAACATCATACCATCTCTTAGCAAAGGTAATATACCTGCCTACTTTGGTTGCTTTTAAAACAACTGCAGAAATAGAAAATATAGTGAGTTTCCAGTTAGTATAACTCCGTAAACAAGAATAAAAGAGAAAAAGTCTAGTTCCAAGTTGTGCCAATCAATAGCTTAGCTGAGTGATTGAGGAAAATTAGGTCTTGCCCCTGGCCCTTTAGGTTTTTTTATCCTGTGCTAAAAATAGGGTTATATGGGCCACCGATTCATGGTCACATGGTTTTTATAAGCCTGTGTGTGTACACAAGGAAAGGAGAGATTCTCTATATTTTTGTAGTTAAGTCTGCTCCATTGTTTCTTAATATGAGGACAAAACACTAAGAAAAAGCACAAAACAAATGGAGTGTTACTATTTTCTGCTTGTTCCCAAAAAGAGGAGATTGCAAAATTAAAGCCCACAAGTCTACCCCCCCAAAAAAAAAAAAATCCGGGTGTGTGCGTTTGAGAGGGAGAACAAGAATGAGGTTTCTCTTGAACTCCTTGCTGAATACATACAGCCGAGAGCTGGGACAGAATTGCACAACTAGCAAATTGCTTTGGCTGGTCTCCCTGTGCTCTGCGAAGTAATTCATTTCCTGTATTTGGTCAAGATAGAGAAAAATTGGGCACATACAAATTTGATGTGGCTTTTGATTAGAATAGTTTATCAGGTAAGTAGGTGAGATTTCACGATGAGGATGAAGGGCACTTTAACGCTTAAGACCAAGGCCAGCCAGAAAAAAATGGTGTAATCTGAAAGTGTCCATATTCCCAGCCTCCCCTTCAGGAAATCTTTTCTCCTCCTCTCTGCTTTCCTGCTTTCCTGGAGGGGCAACAAGTGTTCTTTTGCTCAGTCACAACCTTCTTCATAAAGGAATCTGATAAACATCTTCACACTGAGTTGAAAGTTGCTATTAACTCCCCCAGTGGTATTATATTTAACAGAAGCCTAGCTCAAGAAATAAACCTCTAATTGAACAATTTCAGGCAACCTGGAGTTGAAGTATTTAGGGCAAGTGAATGCAAAAGGGCAGGGAAGCTTCTGAAGGCCCTGACATTCTGGAGTAGGGTGTCCCCTTCCCAGTCAACTCCCCACTCAGCAGCCAGGCTTGAGCTGAAGTCAGCCAAAGGCTCCATATAGAGTTTTGGAGACAACCTGGAAAGGCAGATTTTTGGCAGATTTTTGGGTGATAGTGCTGGGCTTCAATATTTGGAAAAGTGGGGATGACACTGCTCCTCTGGGTTGTGTTTTTTTTTTTTTTTATCCTGGCAGTCCTTAGTTAAGGCTGTAGCACCCTGAAAAGTTGGAGAAGCAGCTACGGTTTGAATTGCTGTTGACTGTGGAACCAGCAGTGGACGTGGCCTCTTAGATCCAGGGCTGGAACATGAGGGGAACTTGGCTCAGCCAAGACAGGATTTACTCTACCTTATAGAACCTAGCCAAACACAGAAATGTATATATTGGATTGTGTTTTTGAAACTTTGAAGGCATGCAATGAAAAATGTCATCTATGCTGGTCCTGGCTTTGAATGATTTTGTTGAAGATTCTCCAAGCTTTGGAGTAGTATCTTTTTTCAAAGTAAAGACTTGGATTACTGAAATATATTGTTGCCTCCATCTCATTCAGGTTTTTCATTAGGAGCTTTTCAAAACTGATGTGATTTATTGTATCATTGTTTGATTAGTGGTCATGGATTTGTACCATCACTCTAAACTCTCTTGGTTGGCCTATGTTAGATGCATTTTCCCCTTTGCCCTCATTAGGAACAGGACAGGTAACCAGAATGTCTCAGACACAAAAGAAAAAAAAATTCAGCCTGCACGAAGCATCAATCAAAAGTGCCAAAGCCAGAGGTAGCTCTTCAAGCTCTCCACTGTCATTGGTGAGGAAGAGAACATCTAATGCTTCAACTTGGATGCATGTGGTCTTGCCCTCATAGGAAATATTTTCAGAATGCCTGGGACACTTTACAGCATTCAGAATAGTTTAAAACTTTAAATTTGAAGTGCCAATTTGTATTTCTTAATTTCTTTTTTATATCAACTAGCAAACTTAAAGATTTTATAGATTTCACTGGGAACTCATTTGAAGAATACTCTCAAATTTTGCTTTCATTTCTGCTCCACCAAAACCACTGGTGGTCACACATTCTAGGCCTGGGCCTTCTACCTCATCTCTGAACTTCGGTTTCCTCATCTACAATAAATAAATAAAAACAGAAAAATAGAGACAATAGCATCCATGTGCATCACTGGAGATAAATTCCTAATCGACAGGGAAAGCTCCTACACTCAAATGCACACAGCCACTATAATGTGGTCACGGATGACAGAACCTCTCCCAGTGCAGCCCACCATGGCTCAGCTTTTCCCTGAACACTTGGCTCATCATGGGGCATTTCACTGACATTAACATTCCTTCCAGATGGGGCACTGAAGGGGTTGAGAAAGAAACTAAAGCCAGAAAAATGTACTTGAACTAACTCTGCATGTTTCTTTAAAGAAATGATTACAAATCTCAAGCTCTTAGTTCTTGAGGCAAATGCAGCACCAACCAGGACCCCTCACACATGGGGGAAGAGTCAGTGCCCAGGCGCCCCTGAACAAGCTCACTGCCTTCAGCTTTGCAGTATCTGGGAAATCCTGTCTCCCTCTACAGAGCGTGTCTCGGGGTCGGCATAGAATTAGATAATACATGTCGAAGTGCTCTGCTTCCTCTAAAACGCTTTGCAAATATGAGGTGGCACTACTATTCCACCATACCTACAGCACAGCTGAGATGTTAAAACAACTCTGGGTGTTAAGGAGGACTTTTCTGTTACACATCGAACCAGGTTGTGTGTATGCTGTCTGGGGGAAATCTCAGATCAGTGCTTTTGCTTTAAAAAAAAAAAAATTTAGTTTGTTTTTGACCAGGAATTTGGTTTTAGTACCAAGTGTTTTTATTTTCAAAGTAGTACTGAATTTGGAACAGATTAGGAAAACTCAAGAGGCCTTTTCATTTCTTCACTTTCTGTTTCACATGTCAAATCTCAGAATTTGAGGATACCCTAAAACCCCTCATGGCTTGATTAAACCTGCTCTCAGATATTCCTACTTGTGGTCTTACAGCCTGGGTCAGGGTCCTTGGAAGACGGAAAACCTTCTACCATCTTAGAGATATATTCCAGCTGCGTGTAGTTCCAGACATTGGAAAGTGTTTCTCTATGCTCCAAGTTAAAATCTGCCTCCTTGAAACTATTTTAAAAGTCTTATGGGATAAGTTTTTTTTTCTGATAAGTCTTTTATATTTATTGTAGAAAGTGTAGAAAATAAAAAGAATTTAAAATCACACATTACCACAACACCCCAAGATAACCATTGGCTTTTCTCTTTTAGTGTTTTTTCACTCTCTCTAAACTATATCACCTTACACATGCAGCATTCTATCCTGCTTTTTAATTTGACAATGTATCTGAATTTCTTTGAAAACGTGTTTTTTCCAACAAACTTAAAAAAATGTTGAAACCTACAGCGAAGCTAATTTTTGCACATCACCTAAATTCTGTCATTGCTTCACTATGTTTGCTTCATCATATATCTATTCATCCCTCCAGACAGTGAAGACATCACTACGCATCCTCCTAAACACTTCAGTATTCATATTTTTAACTACAGCTCAATATTGATACTTTCTATTAAGATAAAATTTACATGCAATGAAATGCACAAATCCTAAGTGCATGCACTGAGCTCTAACAAATTTGACACCTCTAACCCAAACCCCTGTCAAGATATAGAACATTACCATCACGCCCAGAAAGCTCCTTATGTTACTTTCCAATTAATCCCGGCTCCCCTCTTCCCCTTCCACCCATAGATTAGTTTTGCCTCATCTCTAACCTCACATCGTTGGGATCATACAGTTGGTACTCCTGTGTCTTATTTCTTCCTGCATAATGTTTTTGAGATTTATCCATTTGGCTGTATCGATTGCTTGTTCCTTCTTACTGCTAGTTACTATTCCATTTTATGACTATATCAACCTAACTATTTTCCTATTGATGGAAACCTTGGTCTGAGTCCCATTTTTGACTATTATGAATAAAGCTGCTATGAATATTCTTATACAAGTCATTTTGAGAATATAAGTTTTTATTTTTCCTAGGTGAACACCTCAAAGTGAAATTACTGGATCTAAGGTGGGTATGTGTTTATTGTTTAAGGAACTGACAAACTTTGTCCAAACTGGCTGTACCATTTTACACTTCTAGCAGCAATGTATGAGTCTCAATTGTCCCACATCTTTGCCAACATTAAGCGTTATAGTCTAATTACACCCATTCTGGTGAATACCTAGTGGTATTTTGCCACATACCTACTCTAGTTAGTATATAGTATGTGCTTAATAAATATTAGACATCTTTGATTATTCTTTCCATTGCTTTTATATTTCAATATTTCTTACCAGTTCTAAGACCAATGAAATATTTACTTATCTCTTATAGATTTTGACTTCTTAAACTTTAAGGCTGGGCACATGGCTCATGCCTATAATCCCAGTACTTTGGCAGGCCAAGGCAGGAGGATTGCTTGAGCCCTGCCAAGCAATGGTGAAATCCCATCTCTAACAAAAAATTTGTCTTAAGAAATTAGCCAGACATTGTGGCATGCACCTGTGGTCCCAGCTACGGGGGAGGCTGAAGCTAGAGGATTACTTGAGTCCAAGAGGTCAAGGCTTTAGTGAGCTGTCTTTGTGCCACTGCACTCTAGCCTGGGCAACAGCGCAAGACCCTGTCTCAAAAAAAAATTTTTAATTCAGTAATCCACCCATATAATCTTCGTCTCTTCCATTCTTCCATTTCCATAGTGATAATTCATTTTAAGAATCATCTAATTGATATTTACTAGTACCTTTTGAACAAAGGGATACTCATTCAATATCACTGTATAACAAATTATTCCAAAAATGTAACAACTTAGAACAACAAAAATTTATTATCTCTCACTTTCTGAACCTCAGAAACTCAGGAGCAGGTAGTTCTCATCTCATGAGGTTGCAGTCAACAAGTTGTTGGGTTGAGGCTGAAAGTAATTTGAAGGCTTGGCTGGAGAATCTGCTTCCAAGTAAACCTCAGAAGAATTTGTGGGCATATTTAAAACCAAAAATGATCATAGTGTTAATATTAGACATTCTTTTCTAAACCATATCTTTAATAAAAATACCTCTAGAATTTTTATGATTTAGTTTGAGGGGGATGTTCTTTATTGTTATAAAATTTTAAATTCTGGGACTTCTAATAGTTCCTTTTGTGAATGGATAGTAAATTTCATCAGATTCCTTTTGATATAACCATATTCCAGCCTGGCCAATATGGCAAAACCCTGTCTCTACAGAAAAAATTAGCCGAGTATGGTGGTGGGCGCCTGTAGTCTCAGCTACTCAGGAGTCTCAGGTAGGACCACCTGAGCCCGGGAAGGCGAGGCTTCACTGAGAAGTGATCATGTCACCGCACTATAGTCTGGGTAGCAGAGTAAAACCCTGTCTCAAGACAGACAAAATCATATTGTTTTCCTCCTTTAATCTGCTCATGTGACAAATGACATTGACAGATTTCTTATTGTTAGACCATTCTTGTATTCTCAAAATAAACTGTACCCGGTTAAACAGCTCTTAAGTATACTGCTGGCTTTGATTTGCTGATATTTTAGTCAGGAGTTTTGTTTTAATATTTACATGTGAATCTATCCTATGAGTCACCTATTGTTTTACATACATGTCTGTTAAGCAGTGTATTATTAGGACTTGATATCTGACTTGCAGGCAGCACAATCTATGCTTTAGCCATTAATATTTTCCATGGCTTTAGGCCCAGATTTATGTTTAAAAATATTTTTGAAATATTTCTTTTTAAATGTTCTACATATTTTATTTCAGACGATCACATTTCCATCGATCACTTAGACTTTGTTTAAATAGTTCAGATGTTTGTTAGTCCTCTTATGCCACAATTTCTACTACTTTCGATTCACATTTTGTTAGTTGGAGTACACTTCCAAGTAAACATTTCAAAAAGGATGGTAGGTCTAGGTGCTGTCACCCAGCAGCACAGCAAGCGATCTGTGGGTCAGAGGGCTGCAAAGAACCATGGTAGCTTGGGTCTTATAACCACAGGGCTGTACCTTATCAATGGGCAGTGACTATCAGGTGAGGTTTTGCAGAGTATGCAAAGCAGGCAGGCTTTAAGAGGTTAAAAATTTGCTAGCTTGGGCTATTTTAATAGTTGGATATATAAAAATTTGAATTTGGTGCTAATGAATCTCAGTGTGCAGTGAAGAAATAATCTGGGACCCAATACACAAAGGCCATGTTTGGCTCATTATGTAACAATTTTTAGTGACCTTCCTGAAGTAATTTTGTAAAGTCTGTATCCTTTGTCATGTGTGGCCACTGAAATCTCTATTCAACTGTCTTAGTGGTCAGCTAATATTTGGACAGATAGGTCCTTAAATGTCTGGAACCAATAAGTCCCCCAGCCTTTGCTGAGGGACTCTGTGCATGTTGGGACCTGCCTTTAATGCTCAGGTAGGCAGTTTACAACTCAGCCTTAGCCTTCACTTCCTGCTTGTATGTATAGAGCCTCAAGATCAGTCAGAGGTAAGAACTTGGGGCTTTCTCAGATCTTTCCTGGGTATGTGCACAGCCCTGAACATGTGTGTGGGCTTCTAGACTTCCAGGTATACAGTCATCCCTCAGCATCCATGGGGATTGGTTCCAGGCCTACCATGAATTAAAAAAAAAAAAAATCCATGGATGCTCAAGTCCGTTATATGTCATGGTGTCATATTTGCAGATAACTGATACACCTCTTTCTGCATGCATTAAATCATCTCTATATTACTTATAATACCGAATACAATGTAAGTGCTATGTAATTAGTTTCATATTGCTTATTTGTATTTTTTTGTATACTTTAAGTTCTGGGATACATGTGCAGAACATGCAGGTTTGTTACATGTGCCATGGTGGTTTGCTGCACCCATCAACCCATCATCTACATTAGGTATTTCTCCTAATGCTATCCCTCCCCTAGACCCCCACCTCCTGACAGGCCCCAGTGTGTGATGTTCCTCTCCCTGTGTCCATGTGTTCATTGTGCAACTCCCGCTTATGAGTGAGAACATGTAGTGTTTGGTTTTCTGTTCCTGTGTTTGCTGAGAATGATGGTTTCCAGCTTCATCCATGTCCCTGCAAAGGACATGAACTCATCCTTTTTTATGGCTGCATAGTATTCCATTGTGTATATGTTGCTACATCTTCTTTATCCAGTCTATCACTGATGGGCATTTGGGTTGGTTCCAAGTGCCTTTGCTATTGTGAACAGTGCTGCAATAAACATACATGTGCATGTGTCTTTATAGTAGAATGATTTATAATCCTTTGGGTATATACCCAGTAATGGGATTGCTGGTCAAATGGTATTTCTGGTTCTAGATCCTTGAGGAATTGCCACACTGTCTTCCACAATGGTTGAACTAGTTTACACTCCCACCAACAGTGTAAAAGCTTTCCTATTTCTCCACATTCTCTCCAGCATCTCTTTCCTGACTTTTTAATGATCACTGTTCTAACTGGTGTGAAATTGTATCTCATTGTGGTTTTGATTTGCATTTCTCTAATGAGCAGTGATAAGCTTTTTTTCATATGTTTGTTGGCTGCATAAATGTTTCCTTTTGAGAAGTGTACACATTTTTTGGTCCACTTTTTGATGGGGTTGTCTGTTTTTCTTGTAAATTTAAGATCCTTGTAGATTCTGGATATTAGCCCTTTGTCAGATGGATAGATTGAAAAACTTTTCTCCCATTCTGTAGGTTGCCTGTTCACTCTGATAGTTTCTCTTGCTGTGCAGAAACTCTTTAGTTTAATTAGATCCCATTTGTCAATTTTGGCTTTTGTTGCCATTGCTTTTGGTGTTTCAGTCATGAAGTCCTTGCCCATGCCTATGTCCTGAATGGTATTGCCTAGGTTTTCTTCTAGGGTTTTTATGGTTTTAGGTCTTAGGTTTAAGCCTTTAATCCATCTTGAGTTAATATTTGTATAAGGTGTAAGGAAGGGGTTCAGTTTCAGTTTTCTGCATATGGCTAGCCAGTTTTCCCAACACCATTTATTAAATAGGGAATCCTTTCCCCATTGCTTGTTTTTGTCAGGTTTGTCAAAGATCAGATGGTTGTAGATGTGTGATGCTATTTCTGAGGCCTCTGCTGCGTTCCATTGGTCTATGTATCTGTTTTGGTACCAGTACCATGCTGTTTTGGTTACTGTAGCCTTGTAGTATAGGTTGAAGTCAGGTAGCATGATGTCTCCAGCTTTGTTCTTTTTGCTTAGGATTGTCTTGGCTATATGGACTCTATTTGGGTTCCATATGGAATTTAAAGTAGTTTTTTCAAATTCTGTGAAGAGAGTCAATGGCAGCTTGATGGGGATAGCAGTGAATCTATAAATTACTTTGAGCAGTATGGCCATTTTCATGATATTGATTCTTCCTATCCATGAACATGGAATGTTCTTCCATTTGTTTCCTCTTTTATTTCCTTGAGCAGTGGTTTGTAGCTCTCCTTGAAAAGGTCCTTCGCATCCCTTGTAAATTGGATTCCTAGGTATTTTATTCTCTTTGTAGCAATTGTGAATGGGAGTTCACTCATGATTTGGCTCTGTTTTTTGTCTATTACTGGTGTATAGGAATGCTTGTGGTTTTTGCATGTTGATTTTTGTATCCTGAGACTTTGCTGAAGTTGCTTATCAGCTTAGGGAGATTTGGGGCTGAGACGATGGGGTTTTCTAGATATACAATCATGTCATTTGCAAACAGACAATTTGACTTCCTCTCTTCCTATTTGAATACCTTTATTTCTCTCTCTTGCCTGAGTGCCCTGGCCAGAATTTCCAATACTATGTTGAATAGGAGTGGTGAGAGAGGGCATCCTTGTCTTGTGCCAGGTTTCAAAGGGAATGCTTCCAGTTTTTGCCCATTCAGTATGATATTGGCTGTGGGTTTGTCATAAATAGCTCTTATTTTGAGATGTTCCATCAAAACCTAGTTTACTGAGAGTTTTTAGCATGAAGGGGTGTTGAATTTTATTGAAGGCTTTTTCTGCATCTAATGAGATAATCATGTGGTTTTTGTCGTTGGTACTGTTTATGTGATGGATTATGTTTGATTTGCATATGTTGAACCAACCTTGCATCCTCGGGATGAAGCCAACTTGATCATGGTGGATAAGCTTTTTGGTGTACTGCTGGATTCAGTTTGCCAGTATTTTATTGAGGATTTTCACATTGATGTTCATCAGGGATATTGGCCTGAAATTTCCTTTTTTTTGGGGGTGGGGTGGGGTGGGTGTCTCTGCCAGGTTTTGGTATCAGGATGATGTTGGCCTCATAAAATGAGTTAGGGAGGATTCCCTCTTTTTCTATTGTTTGGAATAGTTTCAGAAGGAATGGTACCAGCTCCTCTTTCTACCTCTGGTAGAAATCAGCTGTGAATCAGTTTGGTCCTGGGCTTTTTTTGGGTTGGTAGGCTATTAATTACTGCCTCAATTTCAGACCTTGTTATTGGTCTATTCAGGGATTCAACTTCTTCCTGGTTTAGTCTTGGAAGGGTGTATTTGTTTAGGAGTTTATCCATTTCTTCTAGATTTTCTAGTTTATTTGTGTAGAGATGTTTATGGTATTCTCTGATGGTAATTTGTATTTCTGTGGGATAAGTGGCGATATCCCATTTTATCATTTTTTGTCTATTTGATTCTTCTCTCATATTAGTCTGACTCTAGTGGTCTACCCATTTTGTTAATCTTTTCAAAAAAACCAGCTCCTGGATTCATTAATTTTTTGAAGAGTTTTTTGTGTCTCTATCTCCTTCAGTCCTGCTCTGATCTTAGTTATTTCTTGTCTTCTGCTAGCCTTTGAATTTGTTTGCTCTTGCTTCTCTAGTTCTTTTAATTGTGGTGTTAGGGTGTTGATTTTAGATTTTTCCTGCTTTCTCTTGTGGGCATTTAGTTCTATAAATTTTCCCCTAAACACTGCTTTAGCTGTGTCCCAGATTCTGGTAAGTTGTGTCTTTGTTCTCATTGGTTTCAAAGAACTTATTTATTTCTGCCTTAATTTCGTTATTTACCCAGTAGTTGTTCAGGAGCAGGTTGTTCAGTTTCCATGTAGTTGTGTGGTTTTGAGTGAGTTTCTTAATCCTGAGTTCTAATTTGATTGCACTGTGGTCTGAGAAACTGTTTGTTATGATTTCCATTCTTTTGTATTTGCTGAGGAGTGTTTCACTTCCAATTATGTGGTCAGTTTTAGAATAAGTGTGATGCGGTGCTGAGAAGAATGTATATTCTGTTGATTTGGGGTGGAGAGTTCTGTAGATGTCTATTAGGTCTGCTTGGTCCAGAGTTGAGTTCAAGTCCTGGATATCCTTGTTAATTTTCTGTCTCATTGATCTAATATTGACAGTGGGGTGTTAGTCTCTCACTATTATTGTGTGGGAGTCCAAGTCTCTTTGTAGGTCTCCAAGAACTTGCTTTATGAATCTGGGTTCTCCTGTATTGGGTGCATATATATTTAGGATAGTTAGCTCTTGTTGCATTGATCCCTTTACCATTATGGAATGTCCTTCTTTCTCTTTTTTGATCTTTGTTGGTTTAAAGTCTGTTTTATCAGTAGGATTGCAACCCCTGCTTTTTTTTTTTTCTTTCCATTTGCTTGGTAAATATTCCTCCATCCCTTTATTTTGAGCCCATGTGTGTCTCTGCACATGAGATGTGTCTCCTAATACAGCATACTGATGTCTTGGCTCTTTATCCAATTTGCCAGTGTGTTTCTTTTAATTGGGGCATTTAGCCCATTTACATTTAAGGTTAATATTGTTATGTGTGAATTTGATCCTGTCATGATGCTAGCTGGTTATTTTGCCCATTAGTTGATGCAGTTTCTTCATAGTGTTGATGGTCTTTACAATTTGGTATGTTTGTGCAGTGGCTGGTACCGGTTGTTCCTTTCCATATTTAGTGCTTCCTTCAGGAGCTCTTGTAAGGCAGGCCTGGTGGTGACAAAATTTCTCAGCATTTGCTTATTTCTATTTTTGTTATTCAATTATTTTTTTCAAATATTTTTGCTCCTTGCTTGGTTGATTCTACAGATGTGAAACCTGTGGAAACAAAGGGCCAATTACATGTCGGAGCTCTTCGAATAACTCCATGAACATCTCATTCCCCGGCTTTCCCCTTCTTAGTTTTCTGATCAACTTCTTGTTCACCCCCAGCTTTCTTCACCACCTCAAGAAGTTGCAATGTTGAACAATTGCCAGTGATTGTTTCACAAACCCTCCTGGGGAAACAACTGTTTGCACTAAAGCACTAAACAAGATTCCAGTTAGATCAAATAAAGGCAAGCCCTGTGAGTGAGAATTTCCAGGGAACTACCAGACAGGTCAAACAATGACAGCTTCCTATTATCTGGGAGTGAAGCTCTGATCCCATTCTCTCCCCTCCAGTGGCTGCTAGACTGCTGTTCTTACCGTGATTGTATGGCTGTTGGTTTTCTTTTTATTATTATTATTATTATTATACTTTAAATTCTAGGGTACATGTGCACAACATGCAGGTTTGTTACATATGTATACCTGTGCCATGTTGGTGTGTTGCACCCATTAACTCATCATTTACATTAGGTATTTCTCCTAATGCTATGCCTCCCCCCTCCCCCCACCCCATGACAGGCCCCCGTGTGTGATGTTCCACACCCTGTGTCCAGGTGTTCTCGTTGTTCAATTCCCACCTATGAGTGAGAACATGCGGTGTTTGGTTTTCTGTCCTTGCGATAGTTTGCTGAGAATGATAGTTTCCAGCTTCATCCATGTCCCTACAAAGGACATGAACTCATCCTTTTTTATGGCTGTTGGTTTTCAAGGCTACCGTGGAGCTGCGGAGAAGAAGACAGAAATAGGGCACGTAAAACACCACAAAGGTCACTGTTCTTAGATTCAGGCTCTCTTCTTGAATGAATGTTCTTCAAATTGTTCCAAGCCTCTGGTTAATTTCTAGAGCCCTGAAGAAGTTAATTTTGACAATTTTGCCAACATTCTCATTGCTTCTGTGGAGGAGCAGTTTTTTGAAGGTCCTTACCATTCCCACTGATGTCGTTCTCATTTATTCCTGAACCCACTCCAATCAGGCTTTTGTTCTCAGCATGCCACCAAGCCACCAAAACTGCATTTGCCAAATCACCAGTGATTTCCACACTGATAAATCCAGTTCTCATCTTACTTGACCTACTAGTAACATTTCAGTTTTTCCTTCTGGAAACACTTTATTAATTTTCTCCTTTTTTTTTTTTTTTTGTTCTTTTACCTTCTACCTCTCTGTCTCTTTTGGTGATTATTTTTCTTTTTTTTATTATTATACTTTAAGTTCTGGGATACATGTGCAGAACATGCAGGTTTGTTACATAGGTATACACGTGCCATGCTGGTTTGCTGCATCCATCAACCCATCATCTACATTAGGTATTTCTCCTAATGCTATCCCTCCCCTAACCCCCCATCCTCCAACAGGCCCCAGTGTGTGATGTTCCCTTCCCTGTGTCCATGTGTTCTTATTGTTCAACTCCCACTTATGAATGAGAACATGCAGTGTTTAGTTTTGTTCTTCTGTTAGTTTGCTGAGAATGATGGTTTCCAACTTTATCCATGTCACCGCAAAGGACATGAACTCATCTTTTTTGGTGATTATTTTTCATCTCTTCAACCTCTAGGGGCCTAGTCATTGGACTTCTTGTCTAACCACACTCGCTTTCTTAGTGATATCCAATCTTATGGCTTCAAATAAATCTACATTCTCCCTTCAATTTGACACTTATAAATCCAGCTGCCTACCTGACATGTCCACCAGGGTGTCTAAGAAGAAACTCACACTTAATATGTATGTCTAAAACCTAACTCTTAATTTCTCCCTCACCTTTACCATACTTGTTTCTCCCACAGTCTTCCCCACTTCAATGAATATCAATTCTATTCTCTGGTTACTCAGACAAAATTTTGAGGTCGTCCTTGACTCCTCTTTTTCTTTTGTACCATGTTCAATCTGTTAGCAAATGACATTAGCTTTACCTTAAAAATTTATCCAGAATACTCTCACTTCTTACCACTTTCACAGTCACTTTCCTGGGCTATTACAATAGTCCTAACTAACCTCCCTTCCTCTGCCCCTGTTTTCTCCCTCCAAAGTCTATTCCTCAATATAACAGCCAGAGCAAGGCTTTAAAAATCACATCAAGACACTCCTGTGCCCCAAACTTTCCCATCCCTCTCGGAGTAAAAGCCAAAGTTCTCTGAATGGCCTAGAGTCTGCATGGTCTAGTACCCATTATGGTAACCTCATTTTTCAAATTCACCCCCAACACAAACACACTCTATTCCAGCCACACCTGCCTCCTTGCTGCTTTGGGGACATACCAGGCATGCTTCAGTTTTACATATTTGAGCTTGCTGTTCCCTCTCCCTGGAACTCTTGCCCAGGATATCTTCATGGTTATTTCAACTCTGACTTTAGTATCACCTTATCAAGGAGGCTTTCCCTGGCAACCTTTTCAGAAAGTGACCTCCCCCTCTCCTTTCCAGGCATTCTTTGCCTTTCTTCTCTACTATATTTTCTTATTACCATCATTTAAAATAGTACAGTTTTGATGTTTATTAGTCTCACCAATATAAAATATAAGTTCCCAGAAAGCAGCAATCTCTATTTTGCTTACTGCTTTAACTTCATTGTCTAGAACAGTGCTTGGTAGAGAATGGATACTTAATATTTGTTTTAAAACTAGTTATGAAAACACATGTCTTCAGGAAACTTGGATTATAGAATAATGAAATCTCTCACCCTCCCTTTACCTTCATCAGTCCTCTTCTCTTCAGCTGGCCAGGCAATACAACTTGATCCACATGCACAGGTTAGTCCTTGATTTCAGCTAAGAGCAGGTGCCCAGCCTCTATACTGATCAGTGTCTGTGATAAAGATGTAATTAGATAGCCTTAAGATAGTGCTATTTAGTACACACGGTAAGAGAGGAGCCACAGCTAGAACTTGGGGTGCTTGGCTGAGATTTGCAGGACCTAGATTACTTCAAGGCACTGTCACCCACCTCTCTCATGCACTGGCTGTATAAACCTATTCACTGGTTGTTACAATTAACAAAATATAAATTCATGTAAAAGCACTATTGAATTCTTTATGGCCTTATATTCATAACAATAGAACTAGTTTGCATATATTTATGTATACATATGCACATATTCATTCCTTTAAGTTTTTCAGAATAAATTTCTACTTTAAACAACACCTTAAAATAGTTTTTTTAAGCAAGAAACTCTTATTTTAGGAAATTTTGAAAATCAAAGAAAATATAAGAAAAAAATTACTCCTATTCAAGTGAGACCACTGTTTAGTATTCTGATTCTTTATGTTTTTCGGTCTACTCAGATCTCAGATAATTTTTTCCACATAATCTATACTGATTCTTGTATTTTTTCATTTAAAATATCATGGATGAAGGTTATCTTTCTTTTTTTTTTTTGAGACCGAGTCTCGCTCTGTCGCCCAGGCTGGAGTGCAGTGGTGTGATCTTGGCTCACTGCAACCTCCGCCTCCCGGGTTCAAGCAATTCTCCTGCCTCAACTTCCCGAGTAGCTGGGATTACAGGCACCTGCCACCACGCCCGGCTAATTTTTTGTATTTTTAGTAGAGATGGAGTTTCGCCATGTTGCCCAAGCTGGTTTTGAACTCCTGAGCTCAGGCAATCCACCCGCTTCGGCCTCCCAAAGTGTTGGGATTACAGCCGTGAGCCACCATGCCCAGCCGAAGGTTACATTTTCTAAATACACGTAAGTAGCCACGACAATTTTGGGGGACTTAAAGATGGATTGGCAAACACTCCTTCAACCATTCTTTTTAAAGAAATCTGGTATTGAGCAAACTGTTTTCCCCAGGCTGTCTCTCTAGGAAAAGTGTGTAAGCCAAAGAGGCTAATAATTACATTGTAGCCTGTACTGTATGGTTTTATAAAAGGGTATCAGGTTTGCCATTAAAAACTATAATTAGCCCCATGCCTCTGGAGTTAGAGCCCTAGAGCTGACCTTCTCCCATTTCTTACCCATACCTGCTTGAGTGTGGCTTTGCTGGGATGGGGCTTTACCTCTTCAAGGTGAGTTAAGAGGGAGCACTCCTGCTACTGTAAGTGGAATTATCACTTTAATTTAATTACGCGTTGTCGTCAATGAGCTGGATGTTGTTGAAGTGATTTTTGTCTCTGTCATTCCTTCTGAAAGTTTGTGATCCATTTGGTTATTTCTTAGAATATTAATAGTCTCTTTCTTGATTCTAATTAAGTTACTAGTACCTAAGCAAAATAGCCATTAAGAGTTATGGAAATGTAATTGCTCCACCAACTGGTCAGCTATAATATCATACCAATGGAGATGAAAACAACATTGTCTACCTATGGAAGAATTTTTTAAAAAGTAATTGCATATAAAAATAGCAGGTTTTTAAAAATAAGTTACTTTTGGGAATCCATAGTAGTGAAAAAATTGCTTTTTTTTGCTTTATGTTAATAGATTCTTTTAAAAATTATTTTCCTTGTCAGGTTAGTCAAATCTCCATATGTATGTTAAATCCATGTCTTTGTTCCTTGTGTAAGCTAATGACTGAGGTGGATTTAAAGTAGGACCTTTCCCAAGGGAGCTTAATGTTATAAGGGAGGCTGTAATTAATCTCAAAGCATACTAAATAATCTAAAAAGCAAAAAATGCCACCAAACTCTGTTAATAGATATTGCTCAGTGTCCATGTCCTTGGCTTATAATTCAAGATCTTTTTTCTTTTCTTTTTTTTTTTATTTGTTTTGAGTCCGAGTCTCGCTCTGTCATCCAGGCTGGAGTGCAATGGCATGATCTCGGTTCACTGCAACCTCTGCCTCCCGGGTTCAAGCAATTCTCCTGCCTTGGCGTCCTGAGTAGCTGGGATTACAGGTGCCTGCCACCACGCCTGGCTAATTTTTATATTTTTTGTAGAGATGGTTTTCACCATGTTGGCCAGGCTGGTCTCTTTGGCCAGGCTGGCTTTGAACTCCTGACCTCATGATCCACCTGCCTCGGCCTCCCAAAGTGCTGGGATTACAGGTATGAGTTACCGTGCCTGGCCAAGAACATTTTTTATAATTAACTTTTTATCTTTTTATTTTTTCCCCAACCCTGTCAGTCACTAAGCCCTCTTATGTGAAAAGAAAACAGTCCATAATGTTTTTGCTTCTTTGTGAGAACTTCCCAAGACTGCTCTGGGACAGTCCCCTAAAATGGATGAGCTGCTCAAAGATCTCTAGACTGAGACACAGGAACCCAGGAGTCAAGTTTCTCTTCTGCCACTGGCTTTCTGTGTAGATTTGGGAGCTCATTTCACTCTTCTAGATCTGTCTTTTGTTATCTGTAACTTGAGTCCCTACTTGAGATTACCCTACTTCCAGCATTAAATAATCCATGACTTTAGCTTGTCCATGAGTTGCTTATGACAAAGCAGTCAATTATGACAAAGCAGTCAATTCTTCATGAAACATGCATGCTCTAAAGCCATGTCTATCTTGATTATAAATGTATGTCAAATATCTTAGTGATATGAGGAATGGTTGGAGAGATGTGTGTATGTATATGTGGTGGGACACACACGTGAGCACACACGCCCACCCACACACTATCTTCTTCCCTCAACTCACTCCCCACAATGCTGACAGTGGAATACAGTGTCACTTTTTGGAAAGTCCTTCGAATGCTGGTCTTTAAATGTTCAAGGCCTAGCAACTAAAGGGATTTTAGAAAGTCATCTATCTCCTTGCCTCCAGGAAGCATAGAAGTTAAACCATCTTGAAAAGATTTGTGTTATCAACAGATGATTCCTTTATTTATTCATTCATGACATATTTGAGTACTTACTGAGGGCCAGCCTGTGTGCAAGGAACAATATTCTCAAAGAGGAAGAACAAATGAGGAAGAGAATTCCCCAGGACAAGGTAACAGGGATAGACAAGTTATTCTGGAGTTCATCCACTAAAATTCTGGGTGGGTGGGTGGGTAGGCTGGTTGGTTCTGTTTTTGTTTGTTTGTTTGTTTGGCAGTCTTGCTCTGTCGCCCAGGCTGGAATGCAGTGGTATGAACCCAGCTCACTGGCAACCTCTGCCTCCCAGGCTCAAAAGATTATCCTGCCTCAGCCTCCTGAGTAGCTGGGATTATAGGCACCTGCCACCACGCCTGGCTGGCTAATTTTTGTATCTTTAGTAGAGACGGGGTTTTACCATGTTGGGCAGCCTGGTTTCAAAATCCTAGCCTCAAGTGATCTGCCCACCTCTGCCTTCCAGAGTGGTGGGATTACAGGCGTGAGCCACTGTGCCTGGCCCAAATTCTGGTGTTTGAAATGTGATGACTTTCAATGCTGACCCTGTCTCCCCGCGCCCCCCCCACCGCCCCGCCAACCCAACCCCCCAGAAAAAAGGCATGAGAATGTCTTTTGTAAATGTTTAGTTATAAGAGGATATGGTGATAAACACAAGATGGTGGTGGTGCTTCAAGGTGTGTAGGCTGCCACGGTATTTGTCTGGAAAACAGATGATGTCACTTAAAATGCAAAGCATTAAGTAAATCACTGTCTGGGGAGCCAGACGGGAAGGAGAATCTGGGTAAACCAAAAGTCAGAAGAAACATAAGTGCCAAAACACAAGGCAATTAGACCCTGAAAAATGTTATTTCATAACAATGGAGTGTCTTAGATAGCAGGAGAGAATTCACAAAGGCTCAAGACCCATGAGTTCCTCCTATTATTTCATTACCCAACTTATTACCCACAAATCATGAGTTCTGCCTCTTCCACCCACACTGTCCCTCACACCCTCTTATAGTTTCAATGTGCTGGCCGTGACTCATCCCACACCACGTTTTGCTTTCCAACCTCCCTACACAACACAGTCTTGCCACTACTTGAGGATACGGTTTAGCACGCATGATTCAGGCTGTTTCCGTTTTCCACGTTTATCTTTTGCCATCTGAGGACTGGCACCTCCCCTCTCTTCTGCGGCAGCTGGATCTGGGTGAATCCCAGGGCCACAGAGTGAATGGTTGCTTTTTCTCTTGCTAGATTCTGGGCCATTTCTAATGTCCTCACAGGGCATAGCTTGCCTCCCCTCTGTGCTTTTCTGCAGGGTCCTATGTGAAATAGCCACATCTCATGAACTGCTTTTGTAGAAACGGGCACCGAGGAGGGCATGGAACCCATTGCAAACTGCCTCAGAGGCCAGTGCTTTTCAAAAGACAAAGTGGGGGGTGGTAAGCATGAGTTACCTGCTTCTAAGCCCAACTTGGCCAGTGGGCAGGTGTGCTTATGCTTCTAGGCGTGACTGTATTTTCATGTAAGCTTTGTCCTTCAAAGTAGTCACCTCAGGAGGTTATACATGTATTCTCATGATACTAAAGATATTTTTGAAATTCTTCTCTTACAGTTTTAAGAATAAATTTATATTAAGAAAATCACGGTGAGTTTACAGCTGTACTCTCTTCCAAAACTAGTCCAACTCAAGGCAGGCCTCTGCATGAATTTCTTGTTTCAGAAATCAAATCTATCTACTCTGAAGATATTCAAAGGGAAGTGTTGTAGGCATTGAACACCATTCCAAGAAGGGGCTTCCAAAAGTTTGCTAAGAATTGTAGCACTTGAGGTCTCCCAGGGATACTGTCTTAATTTATTTGGATGGATTAAGTCTAGAAATATTTATTTTAAGAAAATCAAGCAAACCACAATATTTGGCTTCCTGGCACAGGGTCTCTTTTCTCCCAGAAGGGTTGCAAATCTTGGCAAGACCTGCAAGTTTTTCACTGTCTCAGAATACCTTTCACTGAAATGTTATCACCTAGTAAAATGACAGTTTACCTCAAATCAGGTTGGTTCTTTTACAGTTTGTTTAGGAACTTGACCTTTCAGCTTTTGCAACTTGGACTAAATATTTATCTAGCATTTACTCTGCTAGGTATGATGAGAGAGAGATAACTGAAACTGGACATTTTTCTTTCCTTGTTTTGATGCTTGGTGAACTTCTACTTATCCTTCAAGGCCCAGTTCAAATGTCACCTCCTTGATAATTTTTCATATTACATAGAAGAAAATAACACCTTAAACAGATGAAAGCAACATGGTAGTGATTAGAAAATGTATGTCAGTCCCGTAGAAGAAGTTAAATGTTGCTTTCCTCCACCTCAAAACTGGCATTCTCTACCAATGTGTGTACAATGGAAGAAAGGTGTCATTTCCATAAAGAATTCCTCTATACAGAGGCTACACAAAGCCAGGTGATGCTTCTTAAACATTAAAAACTATCATGAGCTGCATAATGTTGGTTTTGGTCAGTAGCCAGAAGCGTTGAGATATTACAAAATGATACTAGTTGACTGAATGACATAAAATTATTTTAACAATTACTATTATTATTATTATTTTTTGAGACGGAGTCCGCCCCTTGGGTTCATGCCATTCTCCTGCCTCAGCCTCCCGAGTAGCTGGGACTACAGGTGCCAGCCACCACACCCGGCTGATTTTTTGTATTTTTTTTTTTTTTTTTAAGTAGGGACGGGGTTTCACTGTGTTAGCCAGGATGGTCTCGATCTCCTGACCTCGTGATCCACCCGCCTCGGCCTCCCAAAGTGCTGGAATTACAGGCATGAGCTACTGTGCCTGGCCAACAATTACTATTATTTTAACTTTTAAGTTCAGGGGTACATGTCCAGGTTTCTTACATAGGTAAAATTGTGCCATGGGGGTTTGTTGTACAGATTCTTTTATCACCTATAATTTTATCATTATTCATAATTTATTATCCATAATTATGCCTGGTACTCACTAGTTGTTTGTCCTAATGCGCTCCCTCCCCTCACTCCCCCTCCCCACAGGCCCCAGTGTGTGTAGTGCCCCTCCCTGTGTCCATGTGTTCTCATTGTTCAGCTCCCACTTGTGAGAACATGCAATGTTTGATTTTCTGTTCCTGCGGTAGTTTGCTGAGGACAGTGGCCTCCAAATCCATCCATGTTCCTGCAAAGGACATGATTTTTTTTCTTTTTGAATGCGTAGTATTCCATGGTGTATATGTACCACATTTTCTTTATCCAGCCCCCATTGATAGGCATTCAGGTTCATTCCATGTCTTTGCTATTATGAATAATATTGCAATGAACATAACGTGTGCATGTGTCTTTGTAACAGGATGATTTATAATCCTTTGGGTATATACCCAGTAATGGAATTGCGGGGTCAAATGGTATTTCTGTCTTTAGGGCTTTGAGGAATCGCCACACTGTCTTCCACAATGGTTGAACTGATTTACACTCCCACTAACACTGTATAAGCGTTCCTTTTTCTCCACAGCCTCACCAGCATTTGTTATTTTTTGATTTTCTAATAGCACAACAATTATTTTTTACTAACATCTTATTCTTAAAATTTTCAAACATAGAGCAAAGTTTAAAGAATTTTACAATGGACACCAGTTTACTCACCATCTAGATTTTACTATTAACATAATTGACTATATTTTCCTTATCGTGTACCAATTTATTACACATTCCTCTATCCATTTTACTGTTTTGAAATACTTCAAAGTAAACAACAGGCATCAGTATACTTCACTCTAAATAGTTCAGCATGCATGTAATTAATTGGAGTTCAATGTTTTTTTTGAAGTAAACTTTATACACAATGAAATGCACAAAAAGTGTACAGTTTTCATAAATGCTCACTTATGTAACCCAAGCCCCTATCATCATATAGAACATTATGCTCACCCCAGAAAGTTCCATCATGTTCCTTTGTAGTTCATCTGTCCTCAATCCCCACAGAATAGTTTTGAAAAATTTTTTTTAAAAATTCAATATAACTTCTATAACTTACTAGAGTCATCTCCTCTTACTAATAAATTATTTGGCAAAAAATACGATGTGGCATACTTGGAACCTGTTAAAGTAAGAGACTAAATTTTTCTTTGTATTTGTTGCTGGTGTACATCAAGAACAAGATTAGTGTAGTGGTTAATGACATATTCTTTGCAAGATTACTCAGTAAAATGCTGTTCCCATACTGCACCTTGACTATAGATTTTATTTGTAAAAATGATTCGCCATAGGTCCTTTTTTAAAAATAAATTTTATTAGGCCAGGGGCGGTGGCTCATGCCTGTAATCCCAGCACTTTGGGAGGCTGAGGCGGGCAGATCACTTGAGCTCACAAGTTCATGACCACCCTGGGCAACATGGCGAAACCCAGTCTCTACAAAAAATACAGCTGATTGTGGTGGTGTACGCCTGTAGATCCAGCTATTGGGAGGCTGAGGTGGGAGGATTTCTTGAGCCTGGGAGGTGGAGGTTGCCAAGATCACGCCGCTGCACTCCAGCCTGGGTGATGGAATGAGACTCTGCCTCAAAAAAAAAAAAAGTGTACATGATTTAAGGTGTACAACATAATGTTATGAGATACGTATAGATAGTAAAATGGTTACTATAGTGAAACAAATCAGCATATCTATCATCTCACACAGTTACCTATTTGTTTGTGTGGCAACAGCAAGTACAATCTTCATTTGGCAGGAATTTTGAATACAATACCACTAGCTAGAGTCCTCATGTTGTACATTAGATCTGCTACTTTGGATCCTTTGACTTATATCTCCCCATTTCTTCCCCACCACTCTGCCCCTGGTAACCATTGTTTTATTCTCTATCTCTGTATTTGACTTTGCAGTGTAGGTTGTTTGGGGGGCCTTGTAGTTACCTTCCTCATTGCTTGGGGCTATGTGGGGGAAAGTCAGGCTCTCCACATCCCTCAGCCCATTACTTCCTGGGGTGGCCCCTCCCACTGGATTTTCTGTCTTCTTCCCTCAGTCTTAGAAGAGGGAGAGAGGACTACTGAAGGGGAACTGCCTGTCAGTTGAGTTCTACAAAGAGTCCTAGGAAAGGGAAGCAGTATTGTTGAGAAAGCTCTTCTAGCTGAAATGGAATGAGAGGAGGAGACATGCATAGATACAAGCGCATGTTTTGGAATGGTTTCGGACTAATGAAACAAAGGGGAAGAAGGTCAACTAGGTAGTGGAGAAAGGAAAATGATGAATGCTGAGAGAACATTTCAGACAGATTCCCTAGTTCTCTCCTTATAAAGTTATCTTCTGGTAGCTGACTTTTAGCCCTTGAGCGCTGAGGACTGCTTGACTCTAACTCCTAAGACATCCTCCAATGAGCTTTGTGTTTGCCCCCCTCATACAGGACAAAATAACCAAGTTGGCCGGCCACGGAGGCACACCTCTGTAGTCCCAGCTATTCAGAAGGCTGAGGCAGGAGCATCGCATAAGCTCAGGAGTTCTAGTCCAGTCTGGATAACATAACGAGACCTTGTCTCTTAAGAACAAGAGGCAACACACACACACATACACACACACACACACACACACACACACACACACTCGTCGAAGAAAGCACAGGAACTCTGATCCTTCTTGCTGCTCTCAGAAGGATAGAGCCACCTGGCTATTCTAGCCAAAGAGCAGGACAGATAAATGAAGGAGCTGAAACCGCCCAGTACCATCATACTGGGATGGTTAACCATTATGGTTGCAGGAAAAATTGTTCAGAATGAGCAAAAATGTAGAATTCTGTTACACCCCTATTTTCTATATCTTAGCTTTAACACATATACCAGTTCTCCATGTATATAACCAATTTCTAACTCAGCTTTGAATTGTTTGCCTTTATAACCATTCTATGTAGACACTGTCCTATATACAGACATGCATAGACAGTGTCAGTGTCTGTACAGGAATGTTATCATTGTTCAAAGAACTTTCAATTTCTGAGTAGGTCAGCTGGTTAATTAATGTGCCAATTCTAACATCTACTTTTTATAGATGAAAGAGGCTCAGGAACAAAGATGCTACTCAAAGTCATCAAACTTCCATGTTGGGTGAATTCAGAAAGCCACTCTCCTTGATTTCAATTACTCATATAGCCTCTGCCTATTGAAAATACAACAGTTCTGCTCTACCTTAGGCAAAACTGTTGGAAATGAAGTCTTTCTTTCATTTACTATTCGGCAAAAGGATCCCTGCTGGGCAATGTTACAGAGTTCAATTCTGCTTTCTCAACAAGCTTCTCCTTAACCTGCTGTCCCTCTCCAACCCAGCTCCCCCACCACAAAAATACTTCCACTTCCCAGCAAGCTCCTCCTGTCTTTTTACCTGTCCTGTATTTCAGACTTCTCCAGTGAGTAAATGGAAGGCACTCACAACTATCAAAGTCCAAGTACAAAGCTCTGGATTTAGAAGGCCCCTGTGCAGGGCAGGGCTTATGAAAGCAACCAAACTTCTACTTACAGCACCAGGGCAAGCTCACTGCCTGGCACATGGAAAGTGCTGAATGCAAGTGAGAAAAAAAAATGAAGGAATAAATGAGGTCCCACTGGGCACTTAACAAAAGGAACAAAGATAATATCTGCTCTCAAAGAGCTTCTAGTCCTTTTGGAGAGGAGTTAGAAAATAATTGAACAGCTGAAGAATACTTACACAGAACAACTTCTCAATATATAAACTAATTTAGTACCAACTTGACCCAGAAAGGCCAAGGAGCAATACCACATTTAGATGAAGTCTATAATGAAAGATTGCCTAGGGAAAGGAGGTTTTGAATTGGGCTTGAAAGGCAAAAGATTCCCTATTTAATAAATGGTGTTGGGAAAACTGGCTATCTATATGCAGAAAACTGAAACTGGACCCCTTCTTTACACCTTATAGAAAAACTAACTCAAGATGGATTAAAGACTTAAACATAAGACCTAAAACCATAGAAACCCTAGAAGAAAACCTAGGCAATACCATTCAGGACATAGGCATGGGCAAAGACTTCACAACTGAAACACCAAAAGCAATGGCAACAAAAGCCAAAAATAACAAATGGGATCTAATTAAAAGAAAGAGCTTCTGCACAGCAAAAGAAACTATCGTCAGAGTGAACAGGCAACCTACAGAATGGGAGAAAAGTTTTCCAGTCTATCCATCTGACAAAGGCCTAATATCCAGAATCTACAAGGAACTGAAATTTACAAGAAAAAACAACCCCATCAAAAAGTGGGTCAAGGATATGAACAGGCACTTCTCGAAAGAAGACATTTGTATGGCCAACAAACATATGAAAAAAAGCTCATCATCACTGGTCATTAGAGAAATATAAATCAAAACCACAATGAAATACCATCTCATGCCAGTTAGAATGGTGATCATTAAAAAGTCAGGAAACAGATGCTGGCGAGGATGTGGAGAAACAGGAAAGCTTTTACACTGTTGGTGGGAGTGTACATTAGTTTAACCATTGTGGAAGACAGTGTAGTGATTCCTCAAGGAGCTAGAACCAGAAATACCATTTGGCCCAGCAATCCCATTACTGGGTATATACCCAAATGATTATAGATCATTCTACGATAAAGACACATGCACATGTATGTTTATTGCAGCACCTTTCACAATAGCAAAGACTTGGAACCAACCCAAATGCCCATCAATGATAGACTGGATAAAGAAAATGTGGCACATATACACCATGGAATACCGTGCAGCCATAAAAAAGGATGAGTTCATGTCCTTTGCAGGGACATGGATGAAGCTAGAAACCATTATTCTCAGCAAACTAACACAGGATCAGAAAACCAAACACCACATGTCCTCACTCATAAGTGGGAATTGAACAATGAGAACACATGGAGAGAGGAAGTGGGGAGCATCACACACTGGGGCTTGTTATGTCAGGGGTGGGGGCTAGCGGGAGGGATAGCATTAGGAGAAATACCTAATGTAGATGACAGGTTGATGGGTACAGCAAACCACCATGGCACATGTATACCTATGTAACCTGCACATTCTGCATGTGTATCCCGGAACCTAAAGTATAACAACAAAAAAATAGATCGCCCTCACATCCACCACTTAACTATCTGCAACATCTGTCACCATATTGATCACAAAGGTTGATGTGGCTGCCAACCTGGCTAGCTATGCGGGTGTACCCTTCCTCCCTCACTGCCCCATGTACATCCTTCCCAAAGCTCTGTGCTTGGTTGAAGAGAGCTACCTTCCCTGATAAAATGGTTAAGTGATACAAGTTTTATAGCAGGCTTCAGCTTCAAATTGAAAATCGCTTAATTATAAAAATACTACTTTTCAACAATTCATGAAATAAAAATATAGCCTATTCTGGCATAGTTGAAACATCTGACATTTTGTGAATGCTATTTTAAATTCAGTTAAAATATTCAATATTGAAAGTAGCTATTTTTATTGTGATAAAACTAGAAATTTTGGTGGAGCCCAGCGTCATGGTAAAAACAATGATCTTACAAAACTTAAAAACAGAAGCTATGGAGCAGAACTCTACTTGGAATTGGTTGTGGTATACATGTAACTCATAGGTTGGTTAAAACCAGCTGTGATATTCTACCATTCAAAATAAAAACTATAATTATCAAACTTTTAAAAAGTAGATAATTATAGTAATTGAGCAGAAAGGAAATAAAGAGGCAGAAGTAAAACATTTAAGGCTTTGGAAGAGCAGATTTGCTTACTGAGAGGAGCAAAAGTTTCATTGAGGAATAATGAAAAGTGAGGGTGGTGAGATGAGGGACAAAGAAAAAGGACTCTATCTTGATGAGTCTTGAATGTGCCTCTGTAAGTTCATAAATTAGGAAGAATCATAAGAAACACTGTTTGAAAAAGGATAAAATTGCTACTGTTTTTGGTCATCATGAGTGAGGAAAGCCTGGGGCTGGAAAACCAGCCAGAAGCCATTGGGATAATGCCAGAATCAGGGATGAAGTCCAGAAGAGTGCAATGGAGATGGGAATGAGAAAGCGATTCCCTTTCTAGTCACTCAACATAGAACAGGCCAAGTTATATTTAAGCCAGACTTTTAAGTTTACCTCCGACGTCCAGTTTCTATCACTTCAAACCTTCAAGTTACCAGATGTAGATCTGGGTTTTCCTCTCTGCTCACCAGATAGTTCTCACTCAGCAAGAAAAGGATTGCTCAGACCTTTGATCTTCACCAATACATTTTCATCTTCTAAAGAAATGAGCAGGAGATTTTCTTCTGGAGTCAGCCTGTTCAAATTCCTTTTGGATTTCTCTTTCTTGATCAAGATTTTCAAACTGTCATCTTAATGAACAACTTTGTTCCAGATTTTAATATACTGAAACTTAATGATCATTTAAAATGTGGCTATATGAATGGTTACTTAAACCACAGTGATCAAGAATGCTTGGAGTTACCTGAAAATTGATTTATTCCAATGGGCATATTTCTGTGCCATTGCTTATGAGCTTACAAGATTTTTTTTGTGCTGGTGGTATTACCTAGTAATCTCGAGTTGGCCAACCTGGATTTGATTCTGGCTGCATAACTTGCTGGCCATGTGATCTTAATCTCTCTAACCACAGTTTTTTAAATCAGTAAAATAATGATAATATATACCATATATAGTAGTAGCTCTTAACATGTGGTTGCCAGTAACAGAAGCATCTCTATCACCTGGGAAATTGTTAAATGCACATTCTCAGGCCCCACACCAGACTTACTGAATCAGAAACTCTGGGGGTGGGACCCAGAAGTGTTTCAGCAGCCCTCCAGGTAATTCTGATGCTTATTGAAGTTCGAAAACCAATGTGATAGGGTAAGCACTAGATACTTACAGGGATTGTAATCAGTAAGGGAGATAACATACATAGTGTTTGGTGCAGGCCTGGTACTAATGAAGTGCTCCGTAATTCACAGGCATACTGTTAGAGGCGATGGTGGTGACCACCTTCAGAAGCAGGTTAGGAAGATTCCATGATTAGGAATGGTGGCCATGATTAGGCTACCAAAAGGAACACACTATTTTCAAAAAAGTGAAAATCCATCCAGGCACCTCACAGGTAACCAAGCAAATGTTTGTTCTCTAAAATTGCTGAAACATAAATCTGCCCCTAATTCCCATATGAGACACAGTCATATCAACTTATCTGTCAATGCTTTAGCATAGATCCCTTGAACATAAGCTAATCTGCAATCCCAGAAAACAAGGTAAAAATAAATAAGTCGCTGTAACTTTTATTGGTGGTTCTAGGTTACAACTCTATCCCTGACTCCCTCTAACATCTATTGTCAATTTGGAATGCTTATTGTGGTTAGGACCTTGAAAAACCATGATTTGCCTGTTTGCATGATAATGGAGTCAAGGTTAGCGTCTTGTTTTTGTTTTTTGCCTAACTTCCACTGGCCCATTGTGGCCAGTATTCTGGCAGTGGAGGTGGGAAGCAATCCATTAAGTAAGTAGCCCAGAAGTGAGATGTGTCTGATCTCTGGGTGAGGGTAGACAGAGTAACAAAATATAGCTTCCATGGCTCTTCTGTTTATTTAAAAAACAGTTTTGAGCTTCCACAATGTTTCAGGCCTGGTGCTATGCCAAACAAAACAGCCTCTCCATAGGACTGACAAGTGGGGAAGATATATATATATATATTTTTTTTTTCTTAATCTGTTGTATATAATAATCTAATAATCTAATACTATAAGCATCTAGTCATTTAACTATTTTTTAAACTGAAATTGTAATAAATGCTATAAAGAAGTACACGGTGTTATGTAAGCCTGAAGAATAAAATTAGATTCAATTCTTGGATTGATGAGGGCTCTCTGAGGAAGTTGGAGTTCAGATCTGTTAAAACTTTAGCATAGATCCCTTGAACACAAGCTACTCTGTAATCCCAAAAACAAAATAAAATCAGTTGCTAAGTTCTAAGATGGTGCCATGATCTTGGTTGGCTCCCTGGTTTTGTCTGAATAATCTCCTTCAGTGTGAGCAGGACCCATGACTGACTTCTAACCAATAGAATATGGCAAAGGTAAGGGGAACTCACTCCTGTGATCCTATTGTGATATATATTAGACCAAGGAGTCAGTAGTGGAAATGGAGACGAACAGATGAATATGAGAAAAATTAAAAAGGTATAATTGATGGGGTCGAGAGTGGTTTAGAGCTCCCTGGTTTCTGTCTGTCATTCTTGGGAATGAAATGTTGAAAGGTGGTCCAGTCTGAGGCAAGGGGTCAAAGATCATGAGTTGTTTGTGCCTGTCGAGTATGAGATGCCTGTGTGCCATCCATGAGGTGTTAAGCAGTTGTATGTAGCATTTCAGAGCTCAGAGAAATGCTCTGGGCAGAAGAGGAATATTAGGGGATTTTGTTAGTAACTAAAGCATTGGAGGGCATGGACTTTCCTGCCCAGGTAGAGAGATAAAGCGGGGAAAAAGCCTCTACTCAAACCTTGTGGAACTCCTCTATTTAAGAGCTGCTAGAAGAGGTAGAGGCCTGGAAAATAAACCAAGAAAGAGCTGCTGAAGAGAAAAAGGGGACATTTCCAGGTGTCTCTCTTGGGTGGTACAAGTATCTTTGACACATGGATTACTTGTACACTCTCCTTCCTTGATTAACCTGAAAGCATTTGGAAACTTTGCTTTTTACTTCTGTCCTAACCCAATCAACTCAGTGTATGGAGCACATAGTAGGCACTGGCCAAATAGTTCTTGAATTGAGTCATTTCCTTCATATTCAAGAAAGGGCAGAATAAATAGACGTGGAGACCCAATTCCTTCAAGCACATAAACAAATGAGCAGAGTACAGGATACTGTTTCATTGGGTGAAGGTAAATATACAGCTATGTGACTAAAATAGTTCAAAAGCCGTTTCAGTAGTTTCTGTTGCTGAAATATGTTTAATCAAATGTTTAATCTCTGAGAGAACTGATAACAAAACAAGACTTCTTGGCCCTGCCCTGCAATCAGGAGTTAATTATTGTTTGTGCCTTTGGTGTTCCTTGTCTCATGTTCAAGAAGTTTAACTCCTAGTGAAAATGGCATTAGGGACAATTTGTTTGTTTTAAAATTGCATGAAGAATTTATTGCATTTATAATCAGCCTTGGACCAAAACCCACCAGCCATGTACTGAACTTTGGGCCTCTTGGGAGTGAGTGAGCCCAAATATCCCTAATCGGGTACCAGAAGATAGAACCCCAACAAAGCAATCAAATTCACACTTCCCAGAAAATGACACTAGGGAACAGACCCACCAAAAACCACTCTGCCACTCCTTAGAGCTATGACCCTCAAAGAATGTACTTGTATTAGTTTCCCAGGGTTGCTTAACAAATCACTGCAAACTGCATGGCTTAAACCAATAGAAAAGTATTCTCCCATAGATATGGGGGCCAAAAGACTTGGCTCAAGGTGTGGGGAGGGCTGTGCTTCCTCTGAAGGTCCTGGGGGAGAATCTGCCCCCTTGTCCAGCTTCCAGTGGCTCCAGGTGTTCCTTGACTAGGGGCAGCATAACCCCAATCTCCGTGTCTGTCTTCACGTGATAGTCTCCTCTGTGTCTGTCTTTTCCTTTTCTGTCTCATCTAAGGACACTTGTCATTGGATTTAGGAGCCACCTGGATAATCCAGAATGAACTGATCTTGAGATCACTATCATAATTGAATCCATAAGACTCTTATTCCAAATTAGGACACATTCTGAGGTTCTGGGTGGACATATCTTTTGGGGGATCAGCATTAAACCCACTAAAAACTCCTAACAGCCCATGAAGTAAGCAAGCTCAATAATTCCCATATTAAAATGAAAAAAAAAGACTTTCCAGAATATATTAAATGTATCTAAAGTGACAAGGGCTTGACTCTGGACTTTCTGAAAAGCCTGTCCAAAAAGATGACTTCCTGATGTTAGGTAAGAAGTTGTATTAGGGAGTCCCTTCTAGGATAGGACTGACCAAAAGTACCATCTGACCAAAAGTCTCTTCAGGGACTTGGATGCCAACCATTAGTGTCACCCTTTGATGGCCTCTTAGAAACAGGCATGAGCTAACTAAGAAAGCACATGCCTGGGAAAGATGATGCCTTCATTGACTCATCTGTGGAGAGTTATTTATTCGATTATCTCCCCAGATCATCTAATTCACTGCCAAATAATCTGTATGTTTGGGAGATCTAATTTATGCTATCAATAATTTTCTTTAAGGAGATATAAAGTCTAGTCAAGACTAAGTTTAGAAATTATTTATGCTGTAAGGCCTGTTCACTTTCTCCTAATCTAGGGTGTTGTCTTCCCAATAATTAATTCTGGCCAGAGAAAGAGTCTTGTGGTTGCCTAGAGGGGTGTAGGGGTGCACTTGTGCCTGTGACACCCAAGAAGCCAAATAACCAACCAGCCATTGAACTTGCACTAGGAGACATAGTTGTCCTCCTATGTAGACCCAATGACAGCATGATGACTTACCATACAATTTTTAAAAAATAAGCTGTGGGATCTCAGGGGGAAGAATAGACTTGAACTTGTTCTTCAGTGACTCATAACCTTTATAACAACATCACAGACCAATGTGGAACCAACAGAGCTCAAAGACTATAATACCTTTATTTCCCATCTATTTGTGAAGAAGAGATAGGAGTATGTAGATCGTTGCTGAAAGCAATTAGTTACCAGAGTCAGTTGCAGCAGAGGAAAGGATAAAGAATGAAACTTTCTGAAGCCATTAAGAATGACATTGCTTGTAAACTAAACATAATTAGGTACCCTGGCTCATGCTGATTGCTCACATCAGTAGGCATTTAGCACAGAGGAGGAAGGGGGAAATAAGTCACTCTGAGCTAAGGGATAGAAGGTTAGATTATAGGAGAGCAGGGTGTAAGATTTTAAACTTGAGTCAAAGGCATAGTCTTCCTGATCTTCTGTCCGGTGGAATTGTCATGCCCGGCCCCCTAATTGGAATGCTGAATGCAATAATGGCTCCAAAGTACTGAGAGATCCATGGAAGAGTTACGTGATTTGAACTACAGAGGCACATTAACCATGGTCTGTTCAGAGCCTAAAGAGAGTAGGGCAAGGATGGTGCTGCCCACCACCATTGCACTGAACTTTCCAAGGCTCCGGCACATGTCATGTCACTCCTTAGTCTAGAAATGCCAGTGTCTTCCACCTCACAAGTGAAGTCAAAGATCTTTCCTTGATATCAATTGCTATTATGTTATTAACGATAAAACTCTAAAAGCACGAAGAAAAAAACACCACAAATCTCAGCACTACTGTTCCACATTACATCTTGACATGTTTTTCTAGTCCTTCTGCAATGCAGAAATGTGTAAACTTTAAAGCAACAAACAAAACTTTTGGGCTCACTTGGCATTAATTTATTCATTCCACAATATTTAATGAGCACTTCTTATATGCTAGGCACCATGAAAGACACTAAAATGACAAAGATGCGTAAGAGTGTCATTTCCTTGACATGTTCTCCAGTCTAACAAGAGAGATGAACATAGGAACAGAGGGTGATAATTTGCTCTTGTGTGTGTCTCAGGAATCAGGTGCTAAAACTAAAATTTTTATAGCCCTCCTCTTGGGACCACTCTTCCCTATTCACCCATCTCTCCTGTTTTCTGTTATGGCAGGTGCAAGCAAAAGTCTTGGGGCAATGGATTTAGGAGAAAGGAAGAGAAACGTAACTGTCCTCAAACATTTTGCAATGTCTCTTTGTTCATTACAGAAAATTATGCCCCTTTTATAGATTAGTACCATTATTTTCCACTGTTTAATATTATGTAAGGTCATAAATATGATCCTGAGTGTAAGAACAATTCTCCATCTTTGTTCCTGTAGACCCCTTATGACAAGTGTCACCTTAGGTCAGAGGAAAAACTCTGACTGCCTATGGGGCAACACTGGCCAGAGTAGGAAGCAGATATTTTAGGTGAAAGCAAACAGCCTCAGAGAGGTTCCTCGGTGTAAGAAGCATAGTGAAGAAAATACTTCACATTAACTGAGCACTTACGTGCTGGGCTTTACACGCACAATCTCATTTAAGTTACACAGCATACTTATGAAGTTGGTATTACTATTCTTGTTTTACAGATGACATTGAGGCTAGAGAAGTTAATAACTTTTCTGAGATTATCCAGTGAACGTGTAGCAAACTACCTTGAGCCCCCAAGTCAGCGCTCTTAACCTTAGGAAACACAAATCAGAAGACGGCACCAGGCAAGAGAAGCTGCACAGTGTAAAGGCATAGTATGGGCTGCAGAATTACAAACAGCTTCACACTCTGGTTCTGTTCTTCCTCAGTCCCCATAACTTTTTTGCTGGTCAGTGTTCTCATTTCTATGTTAGAGGGACACATCTTGTTTATCACTGGTCCCTCAACATCTGTAACTGCGTCGGCCAGCCTATAGCATAAGCCCTTCAATAATGTGTTGAATGAATGCCAAGTTAATGCATGACCTCAGACAGGTTAAGAATACTTATTTTTACAGGGCTGCGGTGAGGGTGGGCGGTGATATAAGTGAAGTGACTCACTTGGTGCCTGCACACAGACACCCCATAAGCGGCCGCCTCATTATGCTATAATGAAGGCACAGAAGGGGCGAAGGTAAATGAACTGAGCCACGGACTTCTTCCCTTAGTCTGAACGACTAGTGAATTCCTCCCCTACAGACATATTTCAGAAAGTGTGAGGCCACTCTGGGAAATAGAACTAGACAGGAACAAACTCAGTTTGGGAGCCTCGCACAGATTGTCATACTGTGATAGATTTCCTAGAACGTAAAGACCCTTGCATTGATGCACGTGCACGGCGCCACCAGTTCCCGAAAGCATTTTCAGAGCTTAATGCAGTGCCAGGCTCGGTGTTTGCATGCCCGTATTGTTCTCCTGAGGCAAAGCGAAAAGTCCTTTTTGATTCCTGCTTCATCCATAGGAAAAAAATAAAAACAAAAAACATACTCGAGAAGTCCTCAGTGGAAACGGCATTGTCACCAAGCATAATAGAAACATTTTAAAGATATATTTCTTCCAGTTGCTGAGGCCTTTTATCTGGCAACTCAGAGAAGGGTGTTAAGACTGATAAGCAGATTTTCTTCACAGTAAAGTAAAATATTGGAGACTGTATAGAAAGAATGAGCACATTTATGCTGTCTAAAATCTGGCTTTTGTAGTGTGAGTCTACTCAAGATATCACTGTTTATCTCCTACACAGCTGATTTAGCTGTTTTCTCACCTTTTCACAATAATCTCATAGAAAACCCTTATTTTTCATTCGCATTTGACACAATCTCCTGGCAGCAGCTCAAACTGGCCGCCTTCAGGGAGGAGGCCCGCTGCAGCTGGATGGGCCCCTTCCAAATATCTGATTATCAGCTGCTTTATTTTAAAGCAAGAAGGTCTTTGGTAAAAAATATTTTGGCCAAATTCAAGCCCTACTCTATATGGTGATTTCCAAATAAACTGTTGTAACTTGCTTTCAAGGGATGTGGATTGCTTCTAAGCCCAGAAGAGTATGTTCTTTTCCCTTTCTTTCCTCTTTCCTTATCCTTCCTCTGATGACAGAGGGGAAAGGAATGATTCTCCTCTGCTCCTGACTTAGAATGGCTCATCAGCCAAAGTCAGAAGGACAAGTCTTCCTCCAGGACGGGCTCTTCCCAACTCTGCTGAAAGCCGCCTCCTCTGCCAATGCCTTGGCCACCTCCATACACCACTTCTCAGGACAGACTCCACTTGGAGGAGCTAAGGGCCAGGAAAAGGTCGTTTCCCTTAAAGAACCAACACAATTCTTATGATTAGTTGAGGAGGATTCTGTAATCAGCAGGGTTTCTCTCTGCCCGGCTGTTGGAAACCTCGGAGCTAGAAATTGCACTCTTTTTGCCAGGATTTCTTGATATGAATTTTTCTTCGATTACCACTTCATGTTTTTGTAGCTTCTGTGAATGAATCTGTTTTATTAGAACTTTATAACTTGTCTCAAATTCTTTTTGAGAAGTAGATGAATTGTGAATAAACATTTTAAGTGGCTGCCATTACTCTAACCATGCTGTTTCTTTCACCTGAACAAAAGTAACCCAGGAAAGACAATTTAAAAGCATCTTTCTAATGAAGAATTTCTAGCTAGAAGTGTTTGGCTTCACACCAAGATCAAAATAAAATCAATCATTCATTCATATAGAAAACTTCATCAAGAAACATTTACTTATAGGGTCAAAGTAAACTGCCTCCTTTTTTTCCCCCTGTCCCATCATCATTTTTTAACAATAACATAGTCAAAAAGCCCATTTTATAGATAGGTAAACTGAGTCACAGAATGTCAAAATAACAAGACTAAGAAAATGTACTAAGTGATAGAACAGATAACAACTGGAGATGCTATAGTCTGTGGGCTCTGAGGGGACAGCACTAGCTCAAAGTCTCCAGACTGGAGCCTTAACCCCATCCCAACACAAATGTTGCTGGGCAACTTACAGGGTTAGGTCTCATTTCTCTCACCTCCAGTTTCTCCATGAGAATGATGGTATTTCATGCCTTTTACTTTCTTTGAGGAGAGGTTATCAGTTCCTGTTTGATTTAATAAAATAATCCTAATTCAAATATTTCTGTTTAGGGGAAAGAAAAATTTGCCTTTGAAAAGCCTATTCATTAAAACCACAAAATGTGATTCACTAAAAATATCCACTAAATTATGTAAACACAACACATATTTACAAAAATTGTGAGAAAATTTAATCAGAGCAACTGAGGCAAGGGTCAATGTCTATACAGCCTGTTTACAATCCAACCTATTCCTGCAATCAAGAAGGAATGGCAATAGAAATGCCATTTTAAAGAGATATGCACATCTATTATACTAAACTCCTCAGGAATCAGGAGAAAATTTTGAAAGAAGTAAATGGAGGCAGCTGTGGAGGCAGATGAGTAGGAGACACAGCTATAATCCTGTCCTCGTGTTATCTGACCCACAGAACTATCATGATGGGCTCAACTTCCTCCAGACATTAGAATGAAAATGGCCTAACATCATGGTGCTTGATTTTGTCTATAGGAATCAATCTACCCCCAGAAACATGTTAACAGAAGAGAATCATGTATGTTCCTGACATGAAGCATCAGCCACGAACCCAGCAGCATTCTCCCTTTATTTGTGCCTATATATTTGAAAATAAGGGGTGGGAGGCATACTGAAGTTTACTTTAAGACTAAATAATGTTGCTTTGTGGCACTCATATTGTATCTATTACACATTTCACTTCAAAACCTCATCTCCCCTAAACACTCTTCAACGTGCTTGAAGTAGCACTGCCAAAGGAAAGGAATTTTCTATTTAACTAGAGCACTGACATTCTGTTACACAATTTGATCTTGTCTATTTACCTGCTCTCAAAAACACAAGACACTAAACACAAAATGCTGAATGCGTTGAGTCTGTGGTGCCATAGGTGTCTGAATGCATCTGTAGCTTCCCTCTCACTCATCAGTGTAATTGTTGCCATGTTATTCCATTTTTTGATTAGTCTAGTCCCTCAAGCTCAATGCTTTTTTCTGGCCCAATGTTCTTCTGCTGGTTGTCATGGTGACTGAATTGTTAGAGAGGAGAAAGGCTCTGTTGTCTGTCATTGTTCTGTTGTGGTTTAGGTAACGCAGGAGGCAACACAAGTGAAGTGGATGGACCTTTTTTGCTCTGCATCATTTCATAGTATTGAAAAATCTCACATAAAAAAGGAGCAAATAGGCCCAACCAAAGAAATAACCAAGCTCTTTCTAAAGTGCACATTATTATAAAGAGGCAAAAATGGCACTAATGATGAACTGAGTAATCTATGAAAATGCTGCTGAATATTACATTTATTACTAGAACAATTGCTGTGACTTAAACATCACATACAATACCTACCATTTTGCAATTTAGAGTAAATACAGTTTTTAACTATACAATTGTAGCATCAACTCATTGATTCTCCAGGCTGTGCTACTTTAACCTTATGTTCTGTTTAACCTAAAGATATGTTAGAAGTGAAGATTTGAAGCAGAATTCAGAGTTGGGCAAACTTTCTTTTAGTGGTAAGATAGTATTCAGGTCAATTGCTACTTTGGGAATGTAGAAATGATTTTTTCAAAAAAATTAGAGATAACTGCAAAGAAGAATTTCTTATTTCAAATGGTAAAAAATGTTTTTGAAGCTAACCAAAATAAATATAATCCCTCCTTGATTTATTTTTCAATTTTCCCAATTTTTTGAGCCAGAAAACAGAGGCATATAGCATACGGATATGGTAAGTGAAGGGGTATATCATAGGCTAGGACCAAATTCATAATGGCTCTTATCAAAATTGCTCTAAGTCATCTTCCATCATTGCTTTGGTAGATGTAATCAACATCAGTACTGGTATAGTTATTTTCGGTTTAAATTTTTTTATTTGCTATATTTGATTGTGAAATGGTTTATTCAGCTGTTTCATTTAATTATTTTAATGATACAGTTTTAAGTAGGGAACATTTGGTAAAATATGATTGGAAAACAAAAAAAGATTAAAGGTTTACTGTGAAGTTTTCCTTCCCATGCCTAAAATTCATCTGTATAGTTCTTACTCCTTCACATATAACTACTGTTATATGACTACTGTTCATTTCTTTTGTAGTTTTCTAGAGTTTCTTTATGAAAATATTTTTTCAAAATACTAAGATTTTTATTTTGCCTCTTGCATGAACAAATGGTAGCATACTATTCATGGTTCTGCATTTTTCACTTACCACTATATTTGGTTGTCTTTTCACATCAGAGCACAGAGATCTTCTCCCTTTTTCTTTTTACAACAGCACAGTGTTCCATTGTATGGATGCACTATAATTTATTTAATCCCTATTGATGGACATTTGGTGTGTTCTCAAAATTCCGCTCTTTATAATGAATAACCTTGTGCATTTATTTCTTATGTATGCAAATATATATAAAAGATAAAATCCCAGAAGTGAAATTTATAGGTTAGAGTATATTTGCAATTGTAATTTTGATGCAAATTGTTAAATTCCCCTCTATAGAGGTTATTCCAATTTACACTCCCATTGACAGTGTAAAGTACCTGTTTTCCCAACTTTGACAACAAAGGATAGTATTAAACTCTTGAAATTCAGCCAATCTGATAGGTAAAAAATAGTAGCACTCTAGAGTTTTAGTTTCTGTTACTAGTGATGTCAATATCTTTTTATATGTTGTAAGACAATTGTATTTCTTTTCATGTTAATCTTCTCCTTAAAGTCTTTGTCCATATTTCTTTTGGAGTGTTAATATTTTTCTTATTGATTTCTAGTTCTTTATATATTTGGGAAATTTTCCCTTTAAGTGTGTCATGAGTTGCAAATATTTTTTCCCAACTTGTCATCTGTGTTTTGACTGCGTATCTGGAGTTTTTTCCATGCAGAAGTTCTGATTTTTATGCAGTCACATCCATCTTTATGGCTTCTTTCTCCACTCCAAGGTTATAAATTCTCCCATGAATTTTATACTGCTTGAATATTTTTTCTTTTAAATTTAATATTAACATTTAGATTTTATCCTTGAGCAGTATGAGTTACAGATCCAACTTTAGATATTTCCAGGTCGTTCTAGTTATCCTATCACCAAATATGGAATAATTCATCCTTTCCCTACCACCGACTTTTTGTGTTCCCTTTATCAGATACTAAAGTATATTATGTTTTTGGCCTATTTCTGGACTTTGTATTCTGTTCCCTGTCTGCTCACACATTGAGTACTAGTACATTTAACATAATACAAACACAATGAACAAGAAATTACAAGAACTGTACAGTCACGTGCCACATAATGTTTTGGTCAACGATGGACAGCATATATAATGGTGGTCCCATAAGATAAAGGAGCTGAAAAATTCCTCTTATCTAGTGCTATCACAGCCATCATGATGTCCCTTATAGTATTGTAGCACCCTTTCTATGATTAGAGACACACATTTTTTCCATTGTGTTACCACTGCCTACAGTATTCAGTACAGTAACATGGTGTACAGGTTTGTAGCCTAGGAGAAATAAGCTACATCATATAGCCTAGGAGCAGTATGTCATTAAACAGTGTGAAAGAAAATCAAAATATATGTTTATTTGGGAGCAAGAGGCTACACCATATAGCCTAATCGTATATAGGCTCCACCATCTATAAGCGCACTCTCTGATGTTCATTTAATGACGAAATCACCTAACAACGCATTTCTCAGACCATATCCCTGTTAAGTGATGTGTGACTATTGTTAGTTTATAAATGAAAATGGTCATTCCTGTATCTTCACACAAGTATTTTGTCATATTTAGCCACTGCTCACTATAAGTCACCATTGAAACATACATTCCTTTCCCTATTTCCCCAGGAAGTATATCTATTATGCAGAACCAGACGTTGATTGTCATTCAATCTGAGAAAATTCAGCTGAAGCCATCGGCAATTTTTCAATTAAAATTATACATTAAAGAATATACATGGCAGAAGGCTGTTTTCTCTCTGAATATGCCTTTAAGGGTCCAGAGTTGTGGGGTGTTCAAAAATCTCAGCGTGCGTTTGTTCAGCCTCTCATAGTGGTTTACAGCAACAGAAATCTGTGAAACATGCTGCTCTCGCTTTCTGAGGGTGCTCCACGATGACTTCAAAGCGTAGCCATTAAAGAGCATTTGAAAGGGCACTTACTATTTAGTACCCAGTAAACATATATTTTGATTTTCTTTCATACTGTTTAATGGCATAATATTCAGCAAGGATCTGTGGAAACCAGCTAGCAATCACAACAGACACACTCCAGGGAGGAGTACCAGCACTTCCTAGATTGGGCTTCTCTCCCTCCCCACTGTGGAAGGGCTGCGGCCGATTTCATCACAGTGCCAAATATTCACAAGCTTGTTGTCTGTTATTGGTTTAATGTAGTACATTCACAGAGATTGAGGTTGATTTTCAGTAAAGTCCTATGACTAATGCTCCTTGGCTGTGATCTTGAGGCTTTCCAGCTCACTCTACCTGCTTCCACCCCTCCTTCTTATCAAGCATTTCATCACTGGGGAGGGGATTTATGTCCTCACCACAAAAGATGACTTTTGGAGCAGAACCTACCCAATAATCAGAAGTGGCAAGTAAGAGGGCAGGTGGTGACCTCTCTCAGTGACATGAACAAGAAGAAGCTGGAAGAGCCTTTCCTTTTTGCTTAGAAAGTGCCCAAACCACTCATTGCAGGAAGCATTTGGCTACCGACCACTTCTCTGAGACCCCTTATAAAAGGTGAGCAAAATTGAAAGCTCTCCCTCCCTCCCCAATTAGTTCAGATTGCAGCCGACCTTCAAAGATATCCATTGCAGGGGTGTTTTCTAGTGATGATGCTGTGAAAATAATTTTCCTTTTTGAAGGGCTTTCTTTCTATTCTCTCCCCATGGCAACTTTTGAAAATTTGTTAAAACGCACACACACGCTCAACCCTCTCAGGCTATCCACAAGCTCTCTAGGTGAGTGGGAACAAATGGCAGCCTATCAGAGAAGTGCACCCAGGACAATTGCACAGTTGTGATCATTTGGGGATCTCATGCAGACTCTCCCTGCAGCCCCCAGTGCACCATCAGGAGTTTCTAAGTACAAAATGAGACAAGGTAGGTGGAGACCAGGGTGTGTGTGTGTGTGTGGGTGTGGGTGTGGGTTTAATTAAGCAAACACTAGTTTGTTCCAATTGCCTTTCCAAATTGATAAGAGATTTCTTATGATGCCAGTAACTGCATAGAAATTGAAGAAAGCAAGCTAAGGCTCTATAGCTTTGGGGCATCTGTGTACTTGTTATATGACTGAATCTAATAGCTGAGACTAGAAGCTGATAGGAGAGTGAGCTTGTTGGGGGAAAGGGGGAATTCATGGAATAGACCGTACCAAGGGTTTGAGGGGCAACCACAGATGACTCAGGACTTTTGGGATGCTGTGGTGACAGTTATGGCACTCAAGTCACAGGAAAACTCATTATATCAACAGAAACCTCCCCTGAATAGATGTACATCTAATTGACATGTGATAAAAGAAATCATGCACATATCCGTTTTTAGTAAGCACTTGCTTTATTTCAAGCACCTCAACTTCCCACTGACATCCCTTTTCTGGGGAGCCTTATTTTAAGATGCCCTTTAAATTAGGTATACATAGGGAAGGAAGCAAAAGCTACAGTGCTCCTCCATGCAGCTTAATTTCTGGGAGAGAAAAAAAAATGGCTGTTTCTGTTTTTCCTTTTTTGCCTCGACACAAGAGTGTCATGCCGAGAATTATGCTGAGGCTAGGATTTAATGGCCATGCCAGGAATTGGAAGCAACAACTATGGACCAGAATGTAAATCCCATGGATGGTTTTACTTGATGCTTTTACGGAGCATGAATGAGGATGTAATTTAAAAATAAGCCCTGCATCCTATTTAAAAAGATAAGAAGGGGCTGGATGTGTGTAAATGTTTGGATTAAATATGACCAAGGACCGTATCGTATTCAAATGGCTTGGCACTTTGAAAATGATGGAATCAGGCTTCATAACGATGCAAGCATCTACCTAATGGAACTAAATTTGCAATAAAGGTGCATAGTGGAAAAGAAGGGCAGACAAGTGGCGCTGAGAATCTAAGTGAGACAGCACCAAAGAATGAAACATACTGAGTTTAAAGACTGACCTTATTGGGATCCTTTCTACTCTGACAATGAGGATGTGAATTATCCTATTATTATAAGCAGGTGGATCATCTTATTAATGTACCCTGGTCTTTCACATTTTTATTTAACTTTAAATCAAATTGAACAATTTCAGGAACAACCTCCCATCCCTCAAAGGAAACAAGCTGATGCCCAGAAATATTTTCTGTGGAGCTTTATATAATTTTTTTTTCTTTCCAGAGACACATTTTCAGCTCTGCCAAACCATAATGCTTAGGCTTTCGTTTGGATATAGCTGAGGTGTCTTGGAAGTTTCTCTGTAAATTCCTTCAAATCCAGAGGAGCTGAATGAGATTCTAAGAGGCTGTGTTCCTCTTAATGATTCCGGATGGAACAGCGTCTTTGGAATTCTGATTTGGATACTGTCAACCACTCGATAGCCCCTGCTCTAAGGGGTGGCAGATGAACCATCATCAAATGTTTTCCAAATTCATCCCTGGTACAACTCTCCCCTTAAACCAAAATTAGGCAGTAAAGTAATATTTGCTTAGAAACACTTACCAGGCACCTGCCTAATAAATGCTACCCTGGCAAAGCCTTCCCACACAAAGAAAATATTTCATCGGAAGGTCAATATCTGCAACTAATGAAAGAAATGGAGCTGTTTCAAACTCACCGACAAAGGTTTCTGTCTCACCCCCCTTTCCACTCTTTTTTCTTTTTGGTTTTGTTTCCTTTCAGCATATTTTAGGAACTAATCAGCCTTATAAAAGGTAGCACTGTTAATCTACTGTTTGTCTTGGTCTTCATCACAGCTCCTTAAGAGATAGAGTGCAAACAAAGCGAGAATTAAGGTCATTCCATTTAAATCCTTCAGAGAGGAAGACAAGGGCTAAGTTATTGCTGAGGACTACAGAGAGGAGGGCTGGAGGAATCCAGGATTAAAAAGAAAAAAAAGAAACCCTCATTGTTTATTATTTGCCAGCCTCAGAGCAGCCCCCATTCCCATATTTGTGAAGGGATTACCCTCCCATCCTCTGAGATTAATGGGAAGCCCAGACAATTCCCTGGCCCACCATGCACCCTGCACCAAAGAACATTTTCCAGAAAGGTGGGCCTGGGAGTGCACTCACTTGGGGGATGAAGAGCGTGACACACTCATCAGCCTGATGTGATTCGTCCTCCAGCTGCCGGAGATGCACAGGCAAACATAACTGCAGAGGGGATTCCATGCTTGCAGAGAAGCAAAACCACATATTAGGAGGTGGCTGTGCCCATGAAAATCTTAGCATGTATCAGATTTAAAGGGTGGAGGGGGTCCAAATAAAACAATAATCCACGCAAAAGCATTTTAGCAGCTTGTAATACTGGCCCCTTTTTTTTTGTAATCCTGATTACAACTCTACTCCCCATATTTTGGGACAGAAGTCAATTTCTTTATTTGTTGCTACCACAGTTCATTGAAGCATTACTAAAATATATTAGCTTTCAACACTAAAAAAATGTGGCAATGGGTTGATCTAAGTGACTAATGCATGGGAAATTTTTTTCTTTAAAGAAGTAAGGCCAGGAAGCAGAAATTGCCATCTACAGCCAACAACAGAGATGCAGATTCTTACTTTGGTCACTGAATAAGGTATTTTTCAAATATTCTCCAGTATTTGGCAAGTTTGGCATATAGTAAACGCACAATAAATATTTGTTGCATGAAGAAAAATTTTGGTATTTTTGACTGCTTATACTGAAAACAATAACATGAATGTTTATGGAGCATTTACCACATGCCATGCAGTGTACTAAGCACTTTACTTTCATTGTCTCCCTTAATTTCAACATCAACACCATGAGGGTATTATCTGCATTTTACAAATGAAAAAAAAAAAAAACAAAAGCTCATTGAAGTTAAGTCACTCACCCAAGGTCACATAAGTAATCAGTAGTAAAACCAGCCCGCAGGGCCATACCATGTTCTTAATGCTGTACTGCTGCCCCTTGAAAGCAGCATTTCTTAGCTTGAGCTTAGAAAACACTCAGGATTGCTCCAGATTCAATGTGATTTTATTAGATGGACCAATTATCCTCAGAGAATCAGAGTGCTACCTTTAGCTAAGGTGTAATTGGGAAGAGGCTACCTTCATGGCAACTTCAAATTTTTTCCTTAATTCCCAGAAGAATTTAGCTACTCACAAAATACAATGACAATTCGGTGGTGCTTTGTTGAAAGTCATAGGAACAGATCTCCTGAGAGGAGTGATGCTCCTTCCCTAAGGGATATCCTACCTCCTTACCTCCCTCAGTTACCCTCCCAATCCCTGCACCAGGCGGAGTGTCAAGTTTTCCCAGGCAGGATGAGATCTATACACCCTTGGCATATGGTGGGTTCTGCCTGGCTTTCTGCAGTGTTTGATTATGATTGGCCTAGTTAATTCATTTTGTTGCATGTTCACCCCTCCTTGGAAATTGAACAGGATTAAATTGCATTTATAAAGCCCTGACAAATCACCGTGTGATTGAAATCAGAATAAAGACAAACACTGAGATCATTCTTTGAGGAAATTCTGACAGCATTTCTGGCTCAGCAGGAGTGTTTGTCCAGAGACTCACATTATCTCCTAGCCATTGGGATGCCCAGTTGTAAGCATACTGACTACACAGTAATAAATGTAGGATCTACAATCAAAGACTAACCAGAGTGAAAAGCCATACATGAAATTGTTTCCTCTTGAATAATCCTAAAACCCCATTTTAGCAAATAGTCCAATTTATTCTGTCTCCAAACTCGAGCTCACAAACAAGCTGTCACCAAAGTGGACTGAGTTATACCCATTTATTTAATTTCCCTTCCTTTGAGGAAAGTGCTAGAAAGCCTTATGGTGACCAAAAGAAAGAAGTATAACTAGCATTAAAAATTTAGAAATAACATTTTCTAAGTCAGAAATAATAAAAAGTTCCTGGACATAAAAGTAAGGCATATTTTTATTTTTAGGATATTTTGCTGAGCTATGCAATAATTTCCAGCATGATTGCTTAGCCAGTCTTAGCCGCTCCCTAGTTTGTAATACTGTACTTCCAAATAAATAGGTAAATAAGTAGAAAGAATTAAAAAGGTATTCCCATTTGTGAAATCGCCGTTAATCCCATATAACACTATGAGAAATTTTTACTAATTTCAGTACATGTTTTATTTAGAAATCTTTGGATACTCACTTCATATGGCATAATTTTTGTATTAATAGTATTTTAATATGAGAACCAAATTTTTGAGGATGAGAAACTGGAGCCCACCATCAAAACAAGAATGTCCTGTAATCCCCTTTTATTTCAAAGGTAACTATAGATCTGCTATGAGTTTATGGTAATGATGACTCAGGTTTCTATATTTCACAGTAAGAAAGTTAGTCTCAATTTTTCCGTGAAATGTATCAATCTAGTCATTGGATGACCTTTAGGGCTTTCCTGCTGAACAGGCTGTCATCCCTAGAGAGGTTGAGTATAAAATAAGTGTACTGATATGGAAATATAATAGCTTCCTTTAATGGAAAATTTCATCTGTGAAGAAAACAGATTCTTCTACCCTTTCCCCATTCAAAAGAAAAAAAATAACAAAATACAGTCAATTGAACTTATGATTTCTAGGCACCAATGTTAAACATCACATTTAGGAAATTTCTTATTGCCAGAATGTGCCTCATAATTTGTTTTAAGAAATCATCCCCAAGGTAAGACAAGCACAGAATATAAGCAGACAAACACTAATTTGAAGGGAAAACACTTTGAGAGAGATTGAATCAGCACTTTAGGGTATCAACATTCATTTCTTTACAATGAGGCCTATAAAATATATTATACATCAAACTGTTGTTGATCATTAAAAGATTTCCAGAATACAGAATGGTTACTTAACAATCCTTACACAGCTGTATGTTGTTTGCTTTGTAAGGTGACAACCAACTGGCCACATGTAGATTATTTTATAAGCATCCCTCTGAGGAAGTGTATCGAGATGGCAGACAAAACACATGCATCTACTCCTGGCTCCAACCCAAGAAAAGACAGATATTTTAAAATAATAAATTTAATGAGCATATTAGAAAATAAAAATTTCATCAGCAGACAAGAGATTCTAAGGAATCCTAGAAGATAGAAAATCAAAGGGGAGTGTATTGACAAGAACAAAACCAGAGGGAAACACAGCCCAGACCAGGAGCAGGAGAGAAGGAAAAAGAGTATTTATCCTACCAGATATCAAACATCATATGAAGCTCTATTTTTAAAAGCAGTGTAAACATAGTGCAGGAATAGGCAAACATACTAATGGAACAAACATAAAATCTGAAAACAGACCCCTGTATATATAGAATTTGGTATATAATAAAAGCGGTATTTCAAACCACCAGGAAGAGTGGATATTTAATGCATGGTATTGGCAAAATCAAGTAACTATTTCACAAGAATAAAGTTTGTGCTCTGTATTATGTCTCACACAAATTTCAGATGAAACAAAGCCATATGTAATCTATTAAACACTGGAATAAAATGAAAATATTTTACATTTTTATAAAGGTAAAGATTGACATATATGGTTGTGATAAAGACACCATAAATAAAGTTAAAACACACAACACAGCCTGGAAGAAAATGCTTTTAACATCTTCAGGTGAAAAATATTTGTAAAGAGTTCTTCCAAATCAATGAAATAGCAAACTCAATAGGAAAATGGATGAAGATTATAAACAAGTAAGACACAGATAAAGAAATATGAATAGCTAAAAATTACATATAAGAAGATGTGCAACCTTGTGAATAATCAGAAAGCAAATTAAAGAGTTTTTGCCATCAGACAAGAAAAAGCTGGAAGGCATGTTAATATATAGCTGTTGGGGTAGAAAATCGGATACTCCTATACAGAATTATAGAAGTGAATGGATATAATCTTTTAGGGGGAGGCAATAGTGTATATCTATCCATGGGGTAGGAAACAGGATACTCCTGTAAAGAATTATAGCAATGAATGAATGTAACCTTTTAGGGGGAGGCAATCATATATATCTATCCACATTAAAAATGTACATGTATTTTGACCCAGCAACACACTCACACACTCTGTCTCTATATATATATAGATATCTAGATAGATCTATATAGATATCTATCAATAGATATCTAGATAGATATCTATCGATAGAGAGTATATACATATATACACACATACACATATATACATATAATACGGATATATATGTGTATATATCTATTTTAGTTCAATCACTCATCTTACCATCACAATGTCCTTGAATATTCCATAGCCACTTTCTCATCTCCCACTCACTCTTTAACTTTCAGCAGTGTGGCTTATCACCTTCATCTCAGCCCAATTCTATTGAAACTCTTCTGGTGGGAATCATCAATAACTACCTAATTGTCACATGCAAAGAAATACTAGAGGTATTTGTCCTTGAAATACTTGATGTTGTGGCCCATGCCTTCTTGGATATTATTTCTTCTTTTGGAGTCTAAGGCTCTTCACTCTTGTTTTTCTTTATAACTCTGTCTACTTCGTTCACTCCTCTTTCTTTGACGGAGCCTTCGAAGCTGGTGTTCCCCAAGGATTATGGCCTGCCCTTCTCTTTCTTACTCTACATTATCTCATTAGGTGAACTCAACCTATGGCTGTTTACAGGCTCAAGATTCTAAATCAATACTTTCAGCCCAGACACCTCTACTGAACTCTAGAGACCTATGCCTCCACCAGAATATTCCACAGGCTTTCCAACAATGTCAACATGTTTCTTTCTATTCTTTGCCTTGATGAAAGCACTACCATCTACCCAGTCACCATAGATAACTAGAATCTTGGAAGCCATCTGAGACTCTGCCATCTCTCACCTCTCATATTCAATCTGCCAATATATACTATAGATTCTTTGTTATACCTCTCGTATCTGTGATATTCCCTATCTCCACTGCTAGTGCATTGATTAATGCCCTTATCATTTATTCAAAGAGTTCTTACCTGGAATTCACACACTTTAAGAGATCTGTGAACCATCTGATAGTATGTGTGAATTATGTGTGTGTATATACATATGTGATTCTAAAAAGGGATCTAAGGCCCCAAAAGGTGAAGAACATTTAGCTTTGTCTAATTGTTGATACAGTCTCCTAATTATATTCTTCCTACTTCTAGTCTCACCCTTCTGCCCTGTCCTTTATCCTGCAGCCTTGCCTTTCCAAATCATAAATCCAATCATAGTCCTCTTATTTTAAAATGCTGTAACACCATACTATTTTAAGATAAGACCCAAACTTCTTTGTAAGGCCCTCTGTGATCTGGCTCCTGCCAACTTTTATGGTTTTTTTCTCTCTCAGAGTGCAGAGACAGTGTCTTGCTGTTTTTGTCACCTCCAGCAAATAACGCAATCCTTGGCTCATAAATGATGACTGAATGACTTTAAAGGAGATACCAGTCTGGTTGTTTATCACCATCAATTTCCTTTCATATATTAAAAGATAAGAGTGGAAAGAGGGTTGGAGAGAGAAAGAGCATCTCAAATAATAGAATGTGATTAGAAATTTTGCTAAGTATAAACAGAATCTTATAAATATCAAATCCCCATTGCAAAGGCCAACACTTCTAAAATAATATGAAATAAAGTGAATGGAGAAATGTTCAACTTTTGATGTGAGCTCAATGTAGCTTTCTATTGCCTCCATTGAAATATGAATATTGTAAGATTCATGTCTCCTAACATTTGAGTAATATTAAAAGATGTGCTAGCCTAAAGTCTATGCTAGAAAGTAGAATCAAGACATCAGTGTGTGGAGTTTACAAATCAAGTAACTGAAGGTTAGAGAATAGAAAATAGGAATAAAACAACCAACTTTTATATTTAAAGTACACAAAAATGAAAGAGGTAGTTCTGATTCTGATATTTTGATATATTATAGGTAAGATAATAACTTTAACAAAATTCCTTCACATATAAATCCTAAAAACTATAGACTTCTCAAGAATGTGTCATTATGTTGCATTTGTGTGTGATCAAACATTGAAGGCAGGAGAGGAAATGGAGAGAGATGAAAGAAAATGCCATATATGTACCTGAGAGGGAAAAAGAATTTCTGAAAAATATATTGAGCTCTTGAAAAGGAAGTTTCCTACTTGCTTCAGTGAAATAACAATCTAACATAAAGAAGGCATTATCATTGCGTCATGCAAATATTGACTGACTTGGCTAATCAGGACTGTATATCAACAGCCTCTTTTTCCCTGGAGTCTGCAGTGACAGCTTTGTGTACTCTGCAGTCTCTTGTGCCTAAGCCAACAACTGATAGAGTATTAGATCAAAGCCTTGATACACAGATGCCAGGCAATTTGGTATTAAACAAGCGATAAGAGTACAAAAGAAGTCTCAATGTACTTTCACCACAATTTGAACAGCAAATAGTTAATTAGGTTGATAATAGATGTCAACATTTCATATGATGTCATGGTTCTAGAAGGTGTAACTTCTCTCACCCTGAGATGGAAAACTAAATGATTTTATTTTTTAAAAAAGCAAATTTAAATATCATTTCATTATTTATGATTTTTCTCATCTGAAGCATTTGGTTAAACATAGTTTTAATCATTTCTTCAAGGTTTTTTTAAATAAAGGGGCAGAATGTAATTTTTATCTGCATAATTTAAGTGAGGTGTTTAAAAGATGTGATCAGCCAGTAAAGGTTTGCATTCAATGCAAATAATCAAGGCCTGAATTCATTAAGGAGTATGGAGTTGTTGTTATTTCCAGATTTCTTTTTAGGTTTCTTATACGTGAGTTATAAAATATCTTGCCCACTCATTCCAAATAAACAGTGATGTCATGAAATATGAAACAGATCTTCATGACTTTTATCTAAATGAAAAGTAAAATAACCATCGACTTATTTTCAGCAACTAAATCAAATATCAGAAAAACTTGGTGCATTAAAACTTTCTATATAAACATACAAACAGGTCAAAAGTATGAAATGTTCCCAAGAATATTTCTTTAGCTAAGAAATACATAAAATTATTAGACCCTGTATCCTCCCAGGTCTCTAATATTAATTGTAAGGTAAATAATAAATGACTTACTAGTACCAAATGAAGTACTAAATTCTTGGAGCCAAATGTGTAAGTTGCATTATTTGTATGTGAGGAGCGGGGAGAAGCCAAAAAGCAAAACCTCCACAGTTAGGGGAGATGAAAATAAGTATCATAACCTAACTCCACAGTTAGGTTAGGGGAGTTGAAAATAAGTATCATAACAACTACAGACTTGATAGGATTTCACCAAATAAGTGAAGTATCACTACTTTAGTTGGAACAACCACATAGTAAATCTCTGGAATACTACTTCCCTTTTCCAGATTTTATACTAAAATCAATGTATATTAACAGTGCCATCTACTGCTCTGCAGTAACACTACAGTGTCCCAAAGTGGCCCAATGAATCCAAGGTGGTTATTTTTATTTTTACTGGGACATCATCACTGCAACTGGTCCATGGTGCTATTCTGAGGGTGCTATGAAACATGTTAAGCAATTTATGCCTGAGGTTGCAATTTTTTGAATTTTTCCAATCAGACCTTGGTGATGACCTTGAGCAGTAGGATATAAATAACTCCCACATGCTCAGCGTTCCAATAATGGAACACTAGGCATAAGGCATATAGTCATTGACTAACTGCCTTCTTTATTTTTTTTAAAAAAGCCAGATTTGCTTCCAGATAGTGATTCATGGGAGCAACAATGTAGTGAAAAAAGTATTGAAGTAAAGATCAGGAGAGCTGTGTTTTTGTTATTGTTCTATTATTTGACCCCATTTTTCTCTTTAGCCTTCATAATCCTGCCTGGCATAATGTTAACAAGATGATCCTTTAGGATTTCTTTCTTACAGAAAAAAATCCATCATGTTATCACATGGGATGTGAATTCTCTTCATCATACTTTTCAAACACTTTTCAAATTTACTAAGGTTTCTTGAGTTGAGTGCAGGAATTATTATTTAAAGTCTTTCTAACACAAAATAAAAATTATTTAGATAGAAACTAAAATATACAGGCAGTCAGTTTACTTAATCTAGAGAATTCCAATACCTGGGTAATTTCCATTTGTTTATGGTCTTGTTGACGGAGCTCAAATCCAGCGAGAATGGAAAATGTTTCCCCCATAAAATTTACATTAACTTTTTTTAACATCATGACCTATGTGCCTTTTGATGTGATGCACTGAGAAGAATGTGATCTCAATTAGTGTCATATTCCTGATAAAAAGGTATAACTGGAATCTTATGAGGAAACATCAGGCAAACTCAAATTAATAGACTTTCTACAAAAAAATTGCCCTGTAATTTTCAAAAATCTCAAAGTTGTGCAGGACAAAGGACACTAAACAGGCATGACAACTATTAAATGCAATGTGTAATCTTGGAACGAGTCTTGGAGCAGGGGAAAAATTGATATGGAAAATATTGGGACAACTGGCACAATTTAAATATGGGCTATCAGATAATAGTATTGAATCAGTATTTACTCTCCTGAATTTGATGAATACATCATGGTGATGTAAGAAAACATCATTGTACTTAGGAAATGCATTCTGAAGTACTTGGGAGTAAAGGGGCACAACGTCTACAACTCGTAAATGTTTCAAAACAAAAATTTTGTGTGTGAGTGTGGAGAGAGAGAATGTGAGCAAATCTTAACAACTGATGAATTTGAGTGAAGGTAAACAGGAGCAGTTTTGTACAATTCTTTCAACTTTTCTGTAGGTTCAAAATTATTTCAAAATGAAAAGACAAAAAATCACAGACACATTTTCTTCTATTTTAAACATAAATTTTAAAGCTGGAAGAGACTAAAGAATACTATTTAGCCCAAGTATTACACTTTATGAGGACACTTTACCCTGAAGAGATTAAGAGGACTTCTTAAGGTCATATAGGCAAAGAAAGAACTAGCTCCTGACTTCCTACCTACTATCCTTTCCAGCAAACCACACTGACTCTGTAAAAAGATAGCAACACAGGTGCCGAAGTGCCAGTTCACCAGCAAATATGTTGCCCAAATCTCCCAAGTTCCTCATAGTACAAGCAATTCATCCTCAAACACTGCCGAGCTTGCTGGGCATGAAGAGATGACAATGAGAAAGACCTAGACCTCTCCTTCGGGGAACTCAGAGACCATGGAAGAGGTCACAGTGCACACATAACCCAAACTGGGGCCTTTGATCTGATTCTGAGCCTGAAATTACATGTAAAGGGGTCAACTCTTGGGTTAACAAAACAGTTACAAGTATTTTCTATAGATAGCACGCTTTGTTGGCTTATGTCTTTTGTTACATGATAAAAGATGATAGAGTCAAACGTACAAATGCTGGGGCTCTTAGGATCCAACATTAACACCCCTTTCCAGACTTTACGTTTTCTTATACTGTATAAAGCTCATTAGAAGACAAGACGAATGAGCCTATTTTCTACATTAAAGTGCCAGCAATTACAGAGATAAAAAAGAGAGAGGGAGAAAGAAAGAGGAAAAAAATACATCAAGAAGTAAGGGAGACAGAAGCGAGTCTCTTTAATCCACATACTTTACTGTTTTATAAAACTTATTAAACAGGAAATTCTTAATTGATAAAATGTTTTTAAATGTGTAAATTTTTGTCATTCTTTCTGTCTGTGCCATAACTTACATATTTATGTTAGCTATCTCAGCCCCTAGTGAGGTCTCACTTGTCACTTTCATATTAGCTTATTCATTTAAAAGGCAATAATTGTTAAAGAAAAATGATTGTTTTTCATAATGCTCAAATGTCTGATTAATCTAGTCAAAATCCTGCCAATCAGCCAAAGTCTTGTCTATATATTTGCTTCAGTAGCGCTAACATACCAAGTCACCTAATACCAAACAATTTGAATAACATTCTACTCTTGTGATTTTTTCCTCCTGAATTGGCAAAAACTTTAATCAACTTATAAATCAAAGAATGTAAAAGTATTAGACTGGGTCAGACCTACATTTTCACCTGCCCAGGGCTCATCCTACAACCAGGAAGCTTGCAATGGTTGTGGACATGCATGTCTGTGCCCCTAAGGGTTCTCACATCCCAACTTTGTTTCTCATTCATTGAAATCTTTCCATCTATAAATATATTGAAAAGTGAATAAGAACAGAGGTGGCAGTGCTATGTAGAATTCCCAGAAGCATCAAGCTACAGCTTCTGAAGTATCTGCTTTTTGAAGGCAACTAGTAGTAGAAGAGATAATCTGTGGTCAAGAGAGTGGATGGCGCATCAGACCACCTTGTGTTGAGTCGTGGCTCTGCCATTTACTGTTTTCTATGTCTCAGTTCCTCATCTGGAAAACGGGGTAATATGGTGACCTAGATCATGAGTCTGAGGCACAGAAGCTGATGAATAAATGTCAGCTATCACTATGCAAAGTTTACTAACAACTTAGACTTTTCTTTTGCATATTTTTTACAAGGCCCTTTCACGCACATCAGTGCTTCTTAACATGCTTCTGCAGCAGATGCTTGGATTTGTTAAAATGCAGACTCCAGGGCTCCACCCCAGATTGAGTCAGAATCTGAAGAGGTAAGGCCCTGGACACAGCATTTTAACATTTTACCCAGGAGTTTGAGAACTAGAATATTTTTCATCTATATACAGTTCATTTATTTTGCTGCTTTTTAAAATTTAATTTTTAAGAAGTTTCATCGTACAAACACTTAACATGAGATTTACCCTCTTAACATATGTTTAAGTGTGCAATGCAACACTATAGGCACAATGTTGTACAGCAGATCTCTAGAACTTATCTTGCATTACTGAAACTTCATACCCATTGATTAGCAATTTCCCATTTCCTTCTCCCCACTCCCCCTGGCAACCACCATTCTGCTCTGTTTCTATGAGTTTGACTATTTTAGATACCTCATATAAACTGAAGCACACAATATTTCTCCTTCTGTCTTATTTCGCTTAGCATAAAATAATGTCCTCAGGTTCAGCCATGTGCTATTATAGCATATCATAGGATTTCCCTTGTTTATGGCTGAATAATATTCCACTGTATGTACATAACATTTTCTTTATCCATTCATCCATCAAAGGACGTTTAGATTGTTTTCACCTCTTGGCTATTTGTGAATAGTGCTGTAACGAACATGGAAATGTTAATATCGCTTCAAGATCCTGATTTCAATTCTTTTGGATAAATACCCAGAATGGGATTGCTGGATCATATGGCAGTTCTATATTTAAATTTTTGAGGAACCTCCATACTGTTTCCCATACTGACAGCACCATTTTGCGTTCTCACCAAGTGTACAAGGGTTCCAGTTTCTCTGTATCCTTGCCAACACTTCTGTCTCTTGATAAGAGCCATTCTAACATGTATGAAGTGATATCTCATTGTCATTTGATTTGCATAAGTGGCATTGAGCATATTTTCATATAACTTTGGCCATTTGAATAACTTTTTTGGAACAATGTCTCTTGAAGTCCTTCGCCCATTTTTAAAGCAGGTTGTTTTTTGTTTTTTGTTTGTTTGTTTGTTTTGTGGGTGTGTTTTGTTTTTGTTTTGCTAACGAGTTAGAGTTTGCTGTTGAGTTATAAAGAGTTCCTTATGTGTTTTAGAAATTAACCCGTTATCTGAAATATGATTTGTGAATATTTTCTGTCATTCTATAGGTTGCCTTTTTATTCTGTGGATTGTTTCCTTTGCTGTGAAGAAGAGTTTTAATTTCATATAGTCCTACTTGTCTATTTTTGCATTTTTCGTCTGTGCTTTTGGTGTGATATTCATGAAGTCATTGCCAAGACCAAGGGCATGCAACTTTCCCACTATGTTTTCTTCTAGTTTTACACTTTCACGTCTTATATTTGAGTTTTTGAGCTTGTGTACAGTGTAATATAAGGGTTCAATTTCATTCTTTTGCATGTGGATATCTGGTTTTCCAAACACCATTTGTTAAACGGACCATCCTTCCCCCATTGCGTATTGTTGGGGCCCTTGTCAAAGATCAATTGACTGTATAAGCATGGATTTATTTCTGGGCTTTTATTTGGTTCCATTGGTTTATATGTCTGTCTGTATGCCAGTTCCACACTGTTTTAATTATTATTGCTTTGTAATATATTTGGAAATCAGGAATTCAGCTTTGATTTTCCTTCTTAAGATTGTTTTGGCTATTCAGAGTCCTTTGTGGTTCCATATGAATTTTAGAATCGTTTTTTCTATTTCCATAAAAAAATGTCATTGGGATTTTGATAAGGATTGCTTTCAATTTATAGATCACTTTAGGTAGTATGGACATTTTTAACTATGTTAAGTCTTCCATTGCCTGAGCACAGAATGTCTTTCCATTTGTTTATGTCTTTAATTTCTTTCATCAATGTTTTACAGTTTTCAGTGTATAAGTCTATCACTACCTTAGTCAACTTTATTCTTAAGTGTTTTATTCTGTTTGATGTTATTATAAATGGGACTGTTTTCCTAATTTCCTTTTCAGATAGTTTGTTGCTAGCATACAGAAATGTAACTAATTTTTGTCTGTTGATTTTGTATCCTACTACTTTATTGAATTCATTCACTAATTTTAACAGTTTTTTTTTTTTTTGGTGAAGTCTTTAGGGTTTTCTATATATAAGATCATGTCATCTACAAATAGGTAAAATTTTACCTCTTCCTTTTCGACCTTGGGCGTCTTTTCTTTCTTTTTTTAATCTAATTGCTCTGACCAGAACTTCTAATATTATGAATACAGTGGTGAGAGTGGGCATCTTTGCCTTGCTCCTAATCTCAGGAGAAAAGCTTTTTTTGCCATTGAGTATAAGGATAGTTTGATTCCTAGTTTGTTGAGTTTTTAACATGAAATGGCTTTGAATTTTATCAAATGCTTTTCTCTGCATTCATTGAGTTGATAATGATTTTAATCCTTCATTCTGTTAATGTGGTGTATCACATTAATTGGTGTCATATGTTGAACCATTCTTGCATCCCAGGGATCAAACCCACTTTGTCATGGTATATGAGCCTTTTAATGTGCTGTTGAATTTGGTTTGTTGTATTTTGTTGAGGATGTTTAAACTTGTATTTATTATTTTATTCATTTCTCACTTAAATTTACTGCCTTGCAAACCACAATGCATAATGGTAAGAAGACAAAATGTAAATAAATTGTCTTTGCCAAGAAATATGTGTAACATGCCCAAGCCTAAAAATAATGCTCTAGCTGGCAAACACTTAGATGGTAGACTGATTAAAAGAACATCAGTTACGTCTGTTCCTTAGGTTTCTGAGAAGCTTTGCGTTAGGCTATACTAATAGCTGGTATTTACTACCAAAAATGATGTTCCTACTCTAATAAGTTGTGCGCTGCCCACAAAGCTACTCTAAGAAATTTGGCCTGTAATCCTAGCACTTTGGGAAGCTGAGGTGGGTGAATAGCTTGAGCCCAGGAGTTGGAGACCAGCCTGTGTAACACAGCAAAACGCTGTCTCTACAAAATATACAAAAATTAGCTAGGTGTGGTGGCAGTGTGCCTATAGTCCAGCTACTCAGGAGGCTGAGGTTGGAGAATCAGTTGAGCCCTGGGAGGCTGAGGCTGCAGTGAGGTGTGATTGTGCCACTGCACTCCAGCCTGGGCGACTTAATGAAATCCTGTCCCCCCACCAAAAAAAATGGAGGCTGCAAGTCCCTATTTGAAACATGAGCTTCAGAATAACATTAGCTACCAAAACCCAGAAGTTCAATGTCTGGCTCCTCTGGGGCAATTTTCATGTATCTTACACGTAAGGTTTATTCATTCAACAAATGTTTTTTGAGCACCTCCTAATATGCTAGGTACTAGTCTTGCAGATGATGGATGCCCTAAATCTATTGGTCAAGCCCCTTTCTGCCACCACATTTGTAAATTCAACTATAGTTCTATATGAAAAGTTTGTGAGAGTGGGACCTTAAGGAGTTATGGGTGAGGGAGAGTGGAAGAGTAGAATATTTAAGAAGAAGGCATTTGCAGAACTGAAATAAACTGATATTAAAATCTGTTGTAATAATATACGCTCTCTGGTGAGTTCTCATCCTTTCTCCCTGATCATAAAACAAAGAGAACAGAGATACCTGGTGCTGCATGGAGTTGCACCTGCAGAGACTATGGTGGGATTCTGCTGACAGCATTCTTGGACAGAAATGAAGAGGAGAGAATGCCAATGGAAATATGCAACTATGTCTGTCCTTTCCAAATTTGACTGTATTCTCCTGCTGGATTTCCCTCATTCAGAAAAACAAAAATTCATGAGACCTTCTTTATTAATCAGAAACAGTAGTTTATCCACCCCCAAATTGTGACTGACAGTGGCACCAAGAGATATTTGGAGGGATACCTGATGTTGACCTCAAGGGTGAGGAATGAACCCCAAGTGCCCTAAGTTCTTGTTAAAGGCAAGATTTAACTTGTTTATAGGGAATAGTTTGCTTAGTCTACAAGAAATAAACAACATCAGGGTTTTGCTGTTTGCTTGCGATTTTCCCTAGATAAACTCATTTGTCTGAGTTTAGAGTGCATTGTGTTTGTTCCTTCAAAAACATGAAATTGTGGTGGTTTCATTGAAAGGATGATTTAGCTTCCATTTGCCACAAACATTAAGTACTTTTCCTATTTACTTTTTCCAGCTGTATTTTTAGCTGTCACTGCAAATTACCAGTGCTGCCAAATAGACCGTCTGTACCTTGAAATATGAAACAGAAACCACAGTTCAGATAACATAAGGTTCCATGAATTTCAGAAAATACACTGAAGAGGCCCCATTTCCCTCCTATCTCAGTTTCTGAATTCTTCTGACATATTTGTCCTGGAATTAATAACAAAATTCCAGAAGGACATGCTGCACTAACTCTTGTTGGAAGTAAGAGGGATGGAGATTATATAAAAGAAATGCCAATCTCATCATTTAGTTACCAAATTATTCTGTCAGGTGGTATTTGCAATCCAGACCACCTCTGAGCTCTGAATTAAGCCTATAGTTTTTTACCTCTCCAAACTCGTGGATCAGTCTTTATCTGACATCAATTTCATGCTTTCCTCTGTACAAATTGGCAGCCAGTGCTTATCCTCATCACCACATGGTGTGTCACAGAATCATTTCTTGATATATGGCAGCTTCAGCTGTATTTGTTCCCCTCATTTCATTATTTTTCTCTAGGGGATATATTTCATCTCCATACAATCCTAGTTTGCTCATTTCTATACTAATGGCTCCAAAGTATTTAGTGGGATTTTCATTCATACATAGTCAGCACAATAAGATTTTGTGAGAAGGATACAGGAGAAAAATAGGATCTCATTAGATAATACAATAAAATTATGAGATTGTGTTTCCACATTAAAAAGGTGTTTTCCCCTTCATATCAACAAAATGAGATATTCTAAAAGTTATATTAGAAAAATTAAAGAAGCTAGCAATTTAATTAGTCAAATGGAAAGATTTGGTTGAAACCCTTCACCAACCAACTTTGACATGGTCTTCACATACACAACTGGCAGGATGTGGGCTAGAGACTGGTTATTAGCTGAGCATTGCTAGTGATGGTGGAGAATATGATTGACTTACTTATGCAAGTCACCATCTTCCCCAGTTTTTAGCAATCAAATCATACCCAGTCACCTAGAGCCCAACTCAAATCCCTCTTCTCCATGATACCTTCCTCGATTATCCCAAACAACATGATTTTTCCTTTCTTTGCATTTCAGTTTTGTTGGCTTCTGTTTGTAAAGGGTCCAAATACTTTTGAGATGCCTACAGGAAACCAGCACCAAAGAGGTTCTGTGATATAGTGCCAGGAGGAAATATGGCTGCATGGAAGTCCCCACTCTAAGCAAAATTGCAACATGTGACATTATTTGTAATCCTAGGAGTTAAGCCTCCACTATGGAGAATAGAAAGCTATGGTAATGAATGTGTTTACAGGGTACGATTTTTTAATCCAAAAGAACAATAGTTTAGCTATGGATCTGACTTGGTTTCTTTTCCTCTAACCCATCAAGAATAGCTCCTTTTCTGGTCTATTTAGAAATCTTACTTTCTCCCTTATCATATCCTTCCCCTATTTCATCTCCAGGGAAGAAGACAAAAGGGGGGCTATGATCATCTTCTCTTCTAATCTATAGAGCTTAGGGTTATTTTGTCAAGTCCTCGTGGAGGACTTGTATACTTTTATTTTTACATATTCATACATTTATATATTTATTTATTGGGGACTGGATACAACAGAAGCATGCCCCCATGGATTCTGGGGGGAAAGTGGGGTGAAAATGTCAAAAGACTGATAATAAACTGAGATTCCCTTGCCTGGGATGTTAAAAAATCAAAGGATAATTTATAATAAACTTTTACATTTAGACCATTGTTATCTATCAATATTAAGGCTGGATCAGAAAGAAATAAGCTGAAATGGTAGAATAAGAAATGGAATTCATTTATTTAACTTTTATTTTAGATTCATGGGGTACATGTGCAGGTTTGTTACACAGCTATATTGCATGATGCTGAGGTTTGGGGTATGAATGATCCCATCACCTAGGTAGTGAGCATAGAACCTAATATGTAGTTTTTCAGCCTTGCTCCCCTCTGCCCCTCCCCCCTCCCCCTCCCGACTCCCCCTCCCCCTCCCCTCCTCCCCATTCCCCTTCCCCTTCTAGTAGTCCCCAGTGTCTTTTGTTCCCATCTCTATGTCTATGCATAACCAATGCTTAGCTCCCACTTATAAGTGAGAATATGTGATATTTGGTTTTCTGTTCATGTTAGGTCACTTAGGATAATGGCACTCAGCCACATCCATGTTGCTGCAAAGGACATGATTTTCTTCTTTTTACGGTTGTGTAGCATTTCATGGTGTGGATGTACCACATTTTCTTTATCAAATCCACCATCAATGAGCACCTAGGTTGATTCCATGTCTTTGCTATTGTGAATAGTGCTACAATGAACACATGAGGGCATGTGTCTCTTTGGTAGAACAATTTATTTTCTTTTGGGTATTTACCCAGGAAGGGGATTGCTGGGTCAAATGGTAGTTCTGTCTTGAGTTCTTTGAGAAATCTGTAAACTGCTTTCCACGGCAGCTGAATTAATTTACATTCCCACCAACAGTGTGTAAGTGTTCCCTTTTTTCTGTAGCTTTGCCAGCATCTATTTTTTTTAAGACATTTTAAAAATAGCCATTCTAAGTGAGATGGTATGTCATTGTGGTTTTGACTTGCATTTCTCTGATTAGTGATGTTGAGCATTTTTCATGTTTATTGGCCACTTGTATGTCTTCTTTTGAGAAATGTCTCTTCATGTCTTTTGCCCACTTTTTAATGGGGTTATTTTTTGCTTGTTCAGTTAAGTTCCTGTATAGATCCTAGATATTACACCTTTGACTGACACATAGTTTGTGAACATCTTCTCCCATTCTGTAGGCTGCCTGTGTATTCTGTTGATAGTTTCTTTTGCTGTGCAGATGCTCTTTAGTTTCTTTAGATCAGAAATCGAATTTAGATTTAAAAAAATTTTTCAGAGCTGAAATAGAAACAAATTCCCCAAGAATGTAGAATCTTCTTCATTGTCGGTGTTCAACAGGGTGGGTTTTCATTTGTTGGATATGGTTTAAATGGGGCAGAGTGATGTGTAAGACAACATTTTAAGATTAAAATCTATGAATCTGACAAACTAATCGGAACTTTAACATCTAGTACATCATGATCACAATACTCTATCTAAAGCTGAGATTAGGAGTGAAAGCATAATAGACATAACTTCCTCCCAATCAGTGTTAGTCTGTATATCAAGGCTGTGATGTTGATCTAATTGGGAGTTTCAGCTGATTCTGTCTTTACCAAGTTGAACACTAGTACCTTCTATTAGTTATTACGCAGCTATTTTAAAATATGCTTTCTACAAGATAGAAAGCAAAAGAGAATGCTTTTGAATACAAGTATGTGAAATTATTTTGGGCACCAACAAAATACCCATTTTCATGTAGCAGTGAAATGTATCCTAGCATGGTCATAATCAGCAAATGCAGTGAGTAAGTCAGAAGAGAAAAAAAGATCGCTATAAGGCAAATATGCAAAAAATTTCAAATGATGGCTTTTAAATAAACTTAGTCCGTAATTAGATTCAACATTTTAAAAATGTATATCATTATGAATTAGCAAATACTTAGAAAAATCTCTGCCCTTTATTATTTCCTGTGATTACAAAAGCAATAAAGTATATTGCAAAACTTTTCAAGAATAAAGTATAACAAATATAGTAAAAATCATTTATATCCCCACTATCCAAAGATAAATACCGTTAAGATGTTAGAATCAATTTCCTCCCAGTTTTTTCTTTTCTTCCCATGATATAAACATTCACATCATTACATTTCCTTCTAAAACATTATTTTTTAATGTCTACAAAATGTTCCATCAAAGAGATGCACTACAAAATATTTCATCTTTTATTGTTGCTGGAGATTTCAGTCAGGCCTCATGAAGAGTCAAGAGACAGAAGGCTCCCTACCTAGGTTAGACAGAAAGACATTTAATACAGGGACTAAGAAGCTGACAAAATTGTATAGGTTGTTGCAAAAGTAATCGCGGCTTTTGCTGTTGAGTAATGGCAAAAACCACAGTTACTTTTGCACCAATCTAATAAATGGTTTTGAAAGAGTAGATGCTAGGGGGCATCAGAAGTGATAGACGTGGGGCAGCCAGAGACCCTTGCTGAGACTGCTGACCTCAAGAACACACTGCCATACATAGCTGTGAGCCAAGAAGCAGGGCCATTGCTACCACTGCTATGGCCTCTCTTGATACTCCCCAAAAAAGTGATGGACGCTGGACTGCTTCTTCAGGAAAACGCAGCATTGCCACCACCATGTTTGTTTTCTGATGTTTGTCATCAGAAAAAAAACAAGAAAAACCTCGGTCAATAGGAAGATGTCCTCTGCTTCACTTTTACCTCCTAAATATCATATGAGTGCATCTAGTGGGGGGAACCTAATTTGCAGATGGATTCTATATGTAGGGTGGTATAGGTATTAGCTTTCCAGCCTCTGCAGAACAGAGAGGCCAGCAAGAACAAGGTTGGAGAATGCTGACTGAGCCTGATCCACCGAGTCCACCACGACTATTGTCAGTAAGGCTGTGGGGAATGTCTTTGACATGGATCTTTGTCTGCATTACTGTTTACTTCCTTAGGATAGATTTCTGAAAGTGAAACTACTTAAGCAAAAGAATAGAAAATTTAAAGTGCTTGATTTATTTATATATTGCCAAGTTGCTTTCCTGAATAATCATATCACTATATACATAATATATAGTAAGCAAAATGTGAAAATGAAAATCTCATCATACCCATACCAGTATTGACTGTTGAGTCTTTTAAAATAAATCTTATTGACATTAATTTTTTTAAAAGTCAGTACTTCTCCATATAAGAATCAACAATAACACTGTAAGGTAAATCGTTATTTCTAAATATATTCAAAATGAAATTTACACCAACTCTTCAGTGAAGGTCCTCAGATTCAAGACCACCATCAATGGTGGAATCTGATTATAACAGTCTGGTTATCCCCGTGTTAGTAAGAAAAACAAAGAATCTCTCTAGGATATCCAAGGGCCTTTTATGTTATGTACACCACTAAAGATCCATTACAAATGAAGTTCTCAACAACAACATAGCCAATCATATTGTTTGCCTTCAAAAGAGGCACTTGACAGAGAGCCTGTGCAGGCCCTCTGAAGTGAAAGGACCCTGGGTGTGTGGTGGAAGCAGAGGCTCTGCAGTAACAGTGATGGCTGAGGCAAAAGGCTAGTGATGGGATACAGGTATTTGAAGCTGATTTTCTTACTAAAAACCAGTGGCAATGTGAAGGTTTCCTGTCATTTCCATCAGCTCCTCTAAGCCACACCTATTAGGCAAATGATTTAAATAAAACTTGTCTCTTTTTAGACAAACATACCTTCAAGGCAAATCCTGGTTGCTCCAGATCTGTTCAGGCTGTGGCCCCTAATCCCTTCCTATATACAAATCCTGGAATTGTCACTCTTGGCACTTTTAGCACTTCTACCTCTTTTAGAGTAAAAGTTAAAAAGATTCCCTAAAGAATCTCCAGCCCTAGCTGGGTTCTAATAACTCCAACTCTATGCAGCTCATAAAGCTAACACCGTTGTTCTGAAAAATGACCATAATTATCTCTATGTAGAGACGGTTCATTTCATTCCATGAAAGCCCCTCAGGCTACCTGAAAGGAAGAGGCTCATAAAGACAATCACTTAAGGCTGCTCCAGAGGTAGTGCTGCACCTGCTGCTTATCGCTGTGAAATTCAGAGTTCATGTTCTCTTTTTTCCTCGCCTCCCCTCCCCTGCCCTCCCCTTCCTTCCTCTCCCTTCCCCCTCCCCCTCTCCCCTCCCTTCCCCCTCCCCCTCCCCTCCCCCTCTCCCCTCCCCTCTCCCCTCCCCCTCTCCCCTCCCCCTCTCCCCTCTGTACTCTACCGTTCTTCTTCTCTTGGCTTCTACACTGTCTTCTCCTCTTGCTGCTCATTGGCTAATCTCTCTATCAGATGTCCACTTCTGGACCAATTAGTGGTCACTCCTTTAAAAAAAATGGTCTAGCGTTGCTTCTGAGCTGAGGGCTTGCAGGAAGGCAGTTGAGGTAGAACAGTAATTCTCAAATTATGCCCTGGACCAGCAGCCGCAGAGCAGCTGGGAACTTACTAGAAAAACAAATTATCAGGCCCTACAAAAGCCCTATTGAATCAGAAACTCTGGGATTGGGGCCTAATCATCTGTGCTTGAATAAGTCATCCAGGTGATTCTTAGGCACACCAAAGTTTGAGAACTACTGGGCTAGAAGATATGTGTGAGTGGCACGATGATAGATACACATGGTACAGTATCCCTGGGGAAAATAATTTGGTTTGGATTCTATGATCAGGCGAGTGAGCCCAGGCAAAGACATTTTATAAGGGAAGAACAACATGCAGCAAATTATGTGACTCCATGTACTTCTGGACAACACATTCTTCTTGCAAAAAAAAATTTTTTTTGCATTCAAGGGCCAATACCAGTAGCAGTGTGAAAGCCAGGACAAGTTTCAGGATACTATGCTAATATGGAGTTCCATTTTTACAATTTGTAAATGGACACATGGTATTGGGCTTTTTCAAAGGGAGATTATAGCTGTCTTTAACCCTTGAACTCCTCCCTGCCATATGTGGAAGAAGGAGTCCCAGAGTGGGAGGCAGAGGAGCTCAGCCCTGCTGTTGAGTCATGTTATGATCTTGGGCAAATCGGAACCTCAGTTTCCTCATTTGTAAAATGAGCGATGACTTCATCTTCTCTCAGGTCACATTCAGTTCTAGAATTTCTTTACCATCTTATATGACTTTTTGACACGGACCTAAAAACTACCTTGATAGTTTCTGCCGCCCTTCAGATTTGTGATTTTAAATAGGGGATGGAGCCCCCCAATTGGACATCAGGGCATAGGTTGTAAAGAGTTCCTTTTGTGGGAAGCCAGAAAGATCGGAAGAAAAAGAAAAGCAGGACAAGGTGGTATCAGGAAAAGAATGACTAGATGGTAATTTGAGTCTGGGGTAGGGACCAGAGGAGAGAGAAAAAAGAAATTACAAACATAAGAACTCTGAATCTGGGCTTTAGAGGTAGAGTACCAACTCCCCAGTGAATGAGCCTGGTTGGAGATTCCTTTGGGCAAAGCCTGGAGACACCAACAGAACATGGAAGGAGTCTGCAGGAGAGGAGCAACGTAATGGAGTGAAAAACACATACAAGTCAAGTATTGACTATTTCTGTCTTAGCAAAGCAAATGATTGATTCAGAAGTTCTTTGAGCCTGTGCCGCCTCCTTTCAGAAAATGAGAAGTCAAGGTTAAAATGAAGGCAAGTAGCATTTCTAGCACTGTTCCTTGCACAAAGTATCCTCTTCCTCCTCCCAACCCCACAAAACAGCAGCTTGTCCAAGGCCACAAGACTGAATGAGGATCCAGTGCCAGCCTCAGGACTCTGAGAACTTCTTTCCAACAGCACCAGCCTATACCCACCCATTTTACTTTCCATCCTATTATCCACTTGACTCAAAACATCCTGATTTAACCCTGTTTTGGTTTAAAACACACAAATTCAACCTTACCGGTACAATCTAAAGCAGTAAAGCAAATATTGGCTTCCTAAGGAAAAAACAAGTCATATATCTATCTCATTGTCATCACTGTCCATTGTAGGAAGAAGTACATTTTATTAATGTTTGTTTATATCAAGGTTTAAGATGCCTTCTTCAAAGGCTGAATTTTCTGTGAGAAGTTTACTTGGATTAGCAATTCTAAAAAGTTGTTATGCATTTATTTTAATCTCTTGCCTGAGAGAATGATTTCTGCACAGATAACAGCATAAGTGGAAAGCAGCTATTGTGTATGCACAGTAGCATATTTTAAACCTTGTCCTATTAAGAAAGAAAGGATAACAAAATGTGCCCTAAGAATCAAGGTCCCTACTTTACATTACTGGAAGTTATGCCGTTAAATCAACGCATGCTGGGTGGCAACTTTTCTCCTAACGTCTGTACAATTTTACAGGTTCCTTCACTACAGAGCAAAATGCACAAGTACTGTGCAGCTTATGAAGTCTATAATTCTTTAATAGTGTTTGCTTTTCATGTTTCTCTCCCTGTTCAGTAAATGGTTCATTTTAGATTGCAAGTCAAAGATAATTGAGCATGAAAGCGCTTATTTGGTGTTCCTTCTTAAAGGGTTAAATGGCCAAAAAATAGGCAGCAAGTCAAAATCTGTGAGATAGAGGGGGAAGGAGATGCTGGCCTGTATCTTAACATTTTCCATTTTAGGGGAAATTCACTGTACATCTGGTGACCTCTGAACCAAAAGCATTGCTAATATATGATGTTGAAAACGAGACCCTGACAAAGGAGACACAATCTCTTTCTAGTCTCTTTCTCTTAAGGGGGTCATGGGGAACTGAGATAGGTTCGATACTGAGCAACAAGGATGATTAAAGGATGGAAAAAAAAAAAGGCCAAAAGAGCTTTCAGATGAAGACAGAGATCCAATATGTCTAATTCTACTTGGAAATAGCATGGCCCAGAGCTCACATGATATTTCCTAAACTTAGTTGGAAAAACTGGCTAAATTAAGAGAATAAAGAGGTATAAGTTTGATACAAGAGAAGGAAAGAGGAGCGTAGGTAGGAAAAATTACAGAGATGAGGTAAGAGAAAAGAGCTAGAGATTCCTACTGGAAGAAGAGGAATTGCCAAGGTTTTCAAAGGAGCGAGATCATGTTTATCTTTAAACTTCCCCATCTGTCAAATGAAATTTGAAGAATCATGGCAAACATTTCCAAAAATGCCCTCTAAAACAGCAAATTTGAAAAATGACTTCCTATCGAAACCAAACACCTAATGGGGTTTCTCTTCTCCAAGATCTAGAGATCATTCTTCTGAGTGGAATGTTCAGCTCTAACCAGCCCAGAGCTACAGATGTCTGAGAGCTGAAGAGGCTGCAAGAAGCAAGCTGACAGCAAGCTGACTGCCAGCCTTAGCAAAGGCAGTGGTGTTGATGCCCAGCCTTCAGCGGGACAGGTTACCCACCAGGCCAGACCAATTCTTAAAGAGATACACGTGTTCAGTGCAGAAGGAGGGGGAAAAAAAAATCACTGAAGGCAGAAATGGGGAGTTTGGGCTTTGTGTTTAATTATTTATCTGTAAAGCCCCGAGAAGCAACATGAGAATGCTTCTGCTTTGCTCTCCTTATATATTAATAGTACTCTTTACTCTTTAGCCACATTCTTTAATGAAAAAAGAAATAGGAACTAGAGAATTCAAGAGAAGCATTTTGACTGTCAACATTTTTCAAACGTAGACCAGTGCTGTTTTTTCACCTGTTCCCAGCTGAATCCTGTCTGTGTGTTTGTGTGGTACATATCATGCAACCCAAGATGTGTTCTGAGAATGACTGAACAACCAGACTTGGATACAGTAACACACAAAAGGAAGTTACGAGCCCTGGGATACTCTTTACTTCCATTCTTGCCTTTGGTTCTGTTCTTTGTACCTATTGTTATATTAAAGATTCTATCCCTTAATTTCTCCACTGGAAAAAAATGTGGTGTCATTCCCCACCCTGCCTAACTTACAGAGATGTGAGATTTAGGGAGCCATCACTCACAATTGCCTTGGAGTTCTTGATAAAAAGGTACTGAACAAATTCAATATTACTGTTAGTATTTTCATTGTTCATGTCTTTCCTTTGGCTGAGCCTATGGATAACATATATTTATTATTGCTTTAGGTTAATAGCAGCTTTGTCCTTTTTTCCCTCCATCCTAGCACCTATTACAGTAATAAAATGCCTATGTATTTTCTTTTTTTTAATTGATTTCACATTTTACTATTATTTTTATTTTATTTTATTATTATTATACTTTAAGTTTTAGGGTACATGTGCACAATGTGCAGGTTAGTTACATATGTATACATGTGCCATGCTGGTGTGCTGCACCCACTAACTCGTCATCTAGCATTAGGTATATCTCCTAATGCTATCCCTCCCCCCTCCCCCCACCCCACAACAGTCCCCAGAGTGTGATGTTCCCCTTCCTGTGTCCATGTGTTCTCATTGTTCAATTCCCACCTATGAGTGAGAATATGCGGTGTTTGGTTTTTTGTCCTTGCGATAGTTTACTGAGAATGATGATTTCCAATTTCATCCATGTCCCTACAAAGGACACGAACTCATCATTTTTTATGGCTGCATAGTATTCCATGGTGTATATGTGCCACATTTTCTTAATCCAGTCTATCATTGTTGGACATTTGGGTTGGTTCCAAGTCTTTGCTATTGTGAATAATGCCGCAATAAACATACGTGTGCATGTGTCTTTATAGCAGCATGATTTATAGTCCTTTGGGTATATACCCAGTAATGGGATGGCTGGGTCAAATGGTATTTCTAGTTCTAGATCCCTGAGGAATTGCCACACTGACTTCCACAATGGTTGAACTAGTTTACAGTCCCACCAACACTGTAAAAGTGTTCCTATTTCTCCACATCCTCTCCAGCACCTGTTGTTTCCTGACTTTTTAATGATTGCCATTCTAACTGGTGTGAGATGGTATCTCATTGTGGTTTTGATTTGCATTTCTCTGATGGCCAGTGATGGTGAGCATTTTTTCATGTGTTTTTTGGCTGCATAAATGTCTTCTTTTGAGAAGTGTCTGTTCATGTCCTTCGCCCACTTTTTGATGGGGTTGTTTGCTTTTTTCTTGTAAATTTGTTTGAGTTCATTGTAGATTCTGGATATTAGCCCTTTGTCAGATGAGGAGGTTGTGAAAATTTTCTCCCATTTTGTAGGTTGCCTGTTCACTCTGATGGTAGTTTGTTTTTCTGTGCAGAAGCTCTTTAGTTTAATTAGATCCCATTTGTGAATTTTGGCTTTTGTTGCCATTGCTTTTGGTGTTTTAGACATGAAGTCCTTGCCCATGCCTATGTCCTGAATGGTAATGCCTAGGTTTTCTTCTAGGGTTTTTATGGTTTTAGGTCTAACATTTAAGTCTTTAATCCATCGTGAATTATTTTTGTATAAGGTGTGAGGAAGGGATCCAGTTTCAGCTTTCTACATATGGCTAGCCAGTTTTCCCAGCACCATTTATTAAATAGGGAATCCTTTCCCCATTGCTTGTTTTTCTCAGGTTTGTCAAAGATCAGATAGTTGTAGATATGCAGCGTTATTTCTGAGGGCTCTGTTCTGTTCCATTGATCTATATCTCTGTTTTGGTACCAGTACCATGCTGTTTTGGTTACTGTAGCCTTGTAGTATAGTTTGAAGTCAGGTAGTGTGATGCCTCCAGCTTTGTTCTTTTGGCTTAAGATTGACTTGGCGATGTGGGCTCTTTTTTGGTTCCATATGAACTTTAAAGTAGTTTTTTCCAATTCTGTGAAGAAAGGCATTGGTAGCTTGATGGGGATGGCATTGAATCTGTAAATTACCTTGGGCAGTATGGCCATTTTCACAATATTGATTCTTCCTACCCATGAGCATGGAATGTTCTTCCATTTGTTTGTATCCTCTTTTATTTCCTTGAGCAGTGGTTTGTAGTTCTCCTTGAAGAGGTCCTTCACATCCCTTGTAAGTTGGATTCCTAGGTATTTTATTCTCTTTGAAGCAATTGTGAATGGGAGTTCACTCATGATTTGGCTCTCTGTTTGTCTGTTATTGGTGTATGAGAATGCTTGTGATTTTTGTACATTGATTTTGTATCCTGAGAGTTTGCTGAAGTTGCTTATCAGCTTAAGGAGATTTTGGGCTGAGACAATGGGGTTTTCTAGATATACAATCATGTCGTCTGCAAACAGGGACAATTTGACTTCCTCTTTTCCTAATTGAATACCCTTTATTTCCTTCTCCTGCCTAATTGCCCTGGCCAGAACTTCCAACACTATGTTGAATAGGAGTGGTGAGAGAGGGCATCCCTGTCTTGTGCCAGTTTTCAAAGGGAATGCTTCCAGTTTTTGCCCATTCAGTATGATATTGGCTGTGGGTTTGTCATAGATAGCTCTTATTATTTTGAGATATGTCCCATCAATACCTAATTTATTGAGAGTTTTTAGCATGAAGGTTGTTGAATTTTGTCAAAGGCCTTTTCTGCATCTATTGAGATAATCATGTGGTTTTTGTCTTTGGTTCTGTTTATATGCTGGATTACATTTATTGATTTGCATATATTGAACCAGCCTTGCATCCCAGGGATGAAGCCAACTTGATCATGGTGGATAAGTTTTTTGATGTGCTGCTGGATTTGGTTTGCCAGTATTTTATTGAGGATTTTTGCATCAATGTTCATGAAGGATATTGGTCTAAAATTCTCTTTTTTGGTTGTGTCTCTGCCCAGCTTTGGTATCAGGATGATGCTGGCCTCATAAAATGAGTTAGGGAGGATTCCCTCTTTTTCTATTGATTGGAATAGTTTCAGAAGGAGTGGTACCAGTTCCTCCTTGTACCTCTGGTAGAATTCAGCTGTGAATCCATCTGGTCCTGGACTCTTTTTTGTTGGTAAGCTATTGATTATTGCCCCAATTTCAGATCCTGTTATTTGTCTATTCAGAGAGTCAACTTCTTCCTGGTTTAGTCTTGGGAGAGTGTATGTGTTGAGGAATTTATCCATTTCTTCTAGATTTTCTAGTTTATTTGCGTAGAGGTGTTTGTAGTATTCTCTGATGGTAGTTTGTATTTCTGTGGGATTGGTGGTGACATCCCCTTTATCATTTTTTATTGCATCTATTTGATTCTTCTCTCTTTTCTTCTTTATTAGTCTTGCTAGTGGTCTATCAATTTTGTTGATCCTTTCAAAAAACCAGCTCCTGGATTCATTAATTTTTTGAAGGGGTTTTTGTGTCTCTATTTCCTTCAGTTCTGCTCTGATCTTAGTTATTTCTTGCCTTCTGCTAGCTTTTGAATGTGTTTGCTCTTGCTTTTCTAGTTCTTTTAATTGTGATATTAGGGTGTCAATTTTGGATCTTTCCTGCTTTCTCTTGTGGGCATTTAGTGCTATAAATTTCCCTCTGCACACTGCTTTGAAAGTGTCCCAGAGATTCTGGTATGTTGTGTCTTTGTTCTCATTGGTTTCAAAGAACATCTTTATTTCTGCCTTCATTTCGTTATGTACCCAGTAGTCATTCAGGAGCAGGTTGTTCAGTTTCCATGTAGTTGATCAGTTTTGAGTGAGTTTCTTAATCCTGAGTTCTATTTTGATTGCACTGTGGTCTGAGAGACAGTTTGTTATAATTTCTAATCTTTTACATTTGCTGAGGAGAGCTTTACTTCCAAGTATGTGGTCAATTTTGGAATAGGTGTGGTGTGGTACTGAAAAAAATGTAAATTCTGTTGATTTGGGGTGGAGAGTTCTGTAGATGTCTATTAGGTCCGCTTGGTGCAGAGCTGAGTTCAATTCCTGGGTATCCTTGTTAACTTTCTGTCTCGTTGATCTGTCTAACGTTGACAGTGGGGTGTTAAAGTCTCCCATTATTATTGTGTGGGAGTCTAAGTCTCTTTGTAGGTCACTCAGGACTTGCTTTATGAATCTGGGTGCTCCTGTATTGGGTGCATATATATTTAGGATAGTTAGCTCTTCTTGTTGAATTGATCCCTTTACCATTATGTAATGGCCTTCTTTGTCTCTTTTGATCTTTGTTGGTTTAAAGTCTGTTTTATCAGAGACTAGGATTGCAACCCCTGCCTTTTTTTGTTTTCCATTTGCTTGGTAGATCTTCCTCCATCCTTTTATTTTGAGCCTATGTGTGTCTCTGCACATGAGATGGGTTTCCTGAATACAGCACACTGATGGGTCTTGACTCTTTATCCAATTTGCCAGTCTGTGTCTTTTAATTGGAGCATTTAGTCCATTTACATTTAAAGTTAATATTGTTATGTGTGAATTTGATCCTGTCATTATGATGTTAGCTGGTTACTTTGCTCGTTAGTTGATGCAGTTTCTTCCTAGCCTTGATGGTCCTTACAATTTGGCATGATTTTGCAGTGGCTGGTACTGGTTGTTCCTTTCCATGTTTAGTGCTTCCTTCAGGAGCTCTTTTAGGGCAGGCCTTGTGGTGACAAAATCTCTCAGCATTTGCTTGTCTGTAAAGTATTTTATTTCTCCTTTGCTTATGAAGCTTAGTTTGGCTGGATATGAAATTCTGGGTTGAAAATTCTTTCCTTTAAGAATGTTGAATATTGGCCCCCACTCTCTTCTGACTTGTAGAGTTTCTGCCGAGAGATCAGCTGTTAGTCTGATGGGCTTCCCTTTGTGGGTAATGCAACCTTTCTCTCTAGCTGCCCTTAACATTTTTTCCTTCATTTCGACTTTGGTGAATCTGACAATTATGTGTCTTGGAGTTGCTCTTCTGGAGGAGTATCTTTGTGGCGTTCTCTGTATTTCCTGAATCTGAATGTTGGCCTGCCTTGCTAGATTGGGGAAATTCTCCTGGATAATATCCTGCATAGTGTTTTCCAACTTGGTTCTATTCTCCCCGTCACTTTCAGGTACACCAGTCAGACGTAGATTTGGTCTTTTCACATAGTCCCATATTTCTTGGAGGCTTTGTTCGTTTCTTTTTATTCTTTTTTCTCTAAACTTCCCTTCTCGCTTCATTTCATCTTCCATCACTGATACCCTTTCTTCCAGTTGATCGCATTGGCTCCTGAGGCTTCTGCATTCTTCACGTAGTTCTTGAGCCTTGGCTTTCAGCTCCATCAGCTCCTTTAAGCACTCTCTGTATTGGTTATTCTAGTTACACATTCTTCTAAATTTTTTTCAAAGTTTTCAACTTCTTTGCCTTTGGTTTGAATTTCCTCCTGTAGCTTGGAGTAGTTTGATCATCTGAAGCCTTGTTCTCTCAACTCGTCAAAGTCATTCTCCGTACAGCTTTGTTCTGTTGCTGGTGAGGAGCTGCGTTCCTTTGGAGGAGGAGAGGCGCTCTGCTTTTTAGAGTTTCCAGATTTTCTGCTCTGTTTTTTCCCCATCCTTGTGGTTTTATCTACTTTTGCTCTTTGATGATGGTGATGTACAGATGGGTTTTTGGTGTGAATGTCCTTTCTGTATGTTAGTTTTCCTTCTAACAGACAGGACCCTCAGCTGCAGTCTGTTTGAGTTTGCTAGAGGTCCACTCCAGACCCTGTTTGCCTGGGTACCAGCAGCAGTGGCTGCAGAACAGCGGATTTTCGTGAACCGCGAATGCTGCTGTCTGATCGTTCCTCTGGAAGTTTTGTCTCAGAGGAGTACCTGGCCGTGTGAGGTGTCAGTCTGCCCCTACTGGGGGGTGCCTCCCAGTTAGGCTGCTCGGGGGTTGGGGGTCAGGGACCCACTTGAGGAGGCAGTCTGCCCATTCTCAGATCTCCAGCTGCATGCTGGGAGAACCACTGCTCTCTTCAAAGCTGTCAGACAGGGACATTTAAGTCTGCAGAGGTTACTGCCATCTTTTTGTTTGTCTGTGCCCTGCCCCCAGAGGTGGAGCCTACAGAGGCAGGCAGGCCTCCTTGAGCTGTGGTGGGCTCCACCCAGTTGGAGCTTCCCGGCTGCTTTGTTTACCTAAGCAAGCCTGGGCAATGGCGGGCTCCCCTCCCCCAGCCTCACTGCCGCCTTGCAGTTTGATCTCAGACTGCTGTGCTAGCGATCAGTGAGAGTCTGTGGGCGTAGGACACTCCGAGCCAGGTGCGGGATATAATCTCCTGGTGCACCGTTTTTTAAGCCCGTCGGAAAAGCACAGTATTGGGGTGGGAGTGACCCGATTTTCCAGGTGCCATCTGTCACCCCTTTCTTTGACTAGGAAAGGGAACTCCCTGACCCCTTGCACTTTCCAAGTGAGGCAATGCCTCACCCTGCTTCGGCTCGCGCACGGTGCGCTGCACCCACTGTCCTGAGCCCACTGTCTGGCACTCCGTAGTGAGATGAACCCGGTACCTCAGATGGAAATGCAGAAATCACCCATCTTCTGCGTCGCTCACGCTGGGAGCTGTAGACCGCAGCTGTTCCTATTCGGCCATGTTGGCACCACGCCTATGTATTTTCAATCTTTTTCCTACCAGTTGCCATTAGGCTATGCAGGCCTATAAAACTACTGGAATTAGATAAAACTATCAAATACATTAACCCATTCATGGAAATAAGATTATGGTAATCAGCTTCTTCATCTCTGACCCATAAAATTGTTTTTGAGAATAATATGCTGATTGTAGATACCTGAAAATTATGGATTTTGTTTTTGGCACAGTTTCCTGAAACATCTTTCTTTTGGAATTTGGTTCAGAAAATCTAGATTCTTTTGCTCTACATGAGACAATATATTCATCCCTGAAGTCTCCAATTTTTGAAGATTAAAATAGTAGCAGTAAAGCTTTTATTAAGCATGAAAAGTACCCATGTACCACCATTGGAAGAAATTGGACCAATTCTAGTTGCCAGGTAAAAGTGAATGCACACCGATATCAAATATGTCAGTTTGCAACCCCCAGAGGGCCAGTTTCTCAGGGCTGGTCTATTGAACCACATTCAGCAGAATCTCCAGGGAGCTAGTTAAGAGGCAGACACCTGTTGCCCTCAACCCCACCAGATCTTCTGAATTCAAAACTGTGTTGGGGTTTAGGTTACCAGCTTTAACAAATAAAAATATAACACAAATACTAATAAACACACAAACACTCTCTAGTTGGGGCCTAGGAGTCTATACTTTAACAAGCACCCCAGGTGTGTTGTAGCACACCAAAATTGGAAAACCACTGGCCTAGAAAATGCGGATTCAAATCACAATGAACCATCACAACACACCTTCCAGAATGGCTAAAATTAAAAAGGACCAACGACACTAAATGCTGGTGAGGACGTAGAATCACTGGAATTCTCATATATCAGGAGTGAGTGTATGAAATGGTATAAGCACTTTGCAAAAAGGGCTGCAAAGTTTTTGTAAAACTAACATACACCTACCCTATGACTCAGCAATTCTACTCCCAAGTAATTACCCAAGAGAAATGAAAACATTTCTTTTCATTCACACAAAGATTTGTACAAGAATGTCTATAGCAGCTTTATTCACGATAGCCCCAAACTGAAAACTCCTGTATTTTCCAATAGCAGAATGAATCAACAAACTGTCATATATTTATTCAATGGGAATACTTGCAATAAAAAGGGATGAATTATTGATATATGCAACAACAGGGATGAATCTCAAAAATATACTGAGAGAAAAAAAGCCTTATTTGAGAGTATATATTATATGATTCCATTTGCATGAAGTTCTAGAACAAGCAGAACTGTTCTGTGGTGGAAAAAAATTAGAACAGTAGTTTCCTCTGGTGGGGAGGAGGTGCGAATTAAGTGGGAAGGGGTATAAGAGAACTTCATTGGGTTTTTGTAATTGTCTGTATCTATTTTTTTGAAACAGGGTCTCTCTCTGTTACCCAGGCTGAAGCGCAGTGGCTCAGTCTCAGCTCACTGCAACCTCCGTCTCCCAGGCTCAAGCAATTCTCCTGCCTCAGCCTCCTGAGTAGCTAGAACCACAGGCACGTGCCACCACCCCTGGCTAATTTTTTGTATTTTTGGTAGAGACGGGGTTTCACCATGTTGCCCAGGCTGGTCTCAAATTCCTAAGTTCAAGAGACTCACTTCGTTCTTTGAAAATTTTACCTTAGACCAGGAGATCGAGACCATCTTGGCTAACACGGTGAAACCCCGTCTCTACTAAAAATACAAAAAATTAGCCGGGCGCGGTGGCGGGTGCCTGTAGTCCCAGCTACTCGGGAGGCTGAGGCAGGAGAATGGCATGAACCTGGGAGGCGGAGCTTGCAGTGAGCCGAGATTGTGCCACTGCAATCCGGCCCGGGCTAAAGAGCAGGACTCCGTCTCAAAAAAAAAAAAAAAGAAAAAAGAAAAAAAGAAAATTTTACCTTAAAAGAAAAAAGTAAATCAATATTCAACTCTATGATGTACATACTGAACTATTTAAGAAAAACACTGATGTCTAAAACCTACTTTTGTTTTTGTTTTTAACTTTTTTATTGTAAAATATAACAGAATTTACTATATTAATCATTTTTAAATGTACAGTTCAGTGGTATTAAGTACATTCATATTGTTGTGCAGCCATCACCACATATCTCTGGAACATTTTCATCTTCTAAACTACAATTTCATGCCTGTTAACAACTCCTTGTTTTCTCCTCCCCATGGCAACCTTCTATTTTCTTTTTTTTCCTAAATCTTTTATTTTAGGTTGAGGAATAATGTGCAGGTTTGTAATAAAGGTAAATTGCATGTCATGGGGGTTTGGTGTATAGATTATTTTGCCACCCAGGTAATAAGCACAGTTACCCGACAGGTAGTTTTTCTGTCTTCACCCTCCTCCCTCCAGCATCAAGCAGGTCCCTGTGTCTGTTGTTCCTTCTGTGTCCATATGTATTCAATGTGAAAACCTACTTTGAAATGCATAAAAAATAAGATGGATGGGGGTTGGAGATTTTTACACACACACACACACACACACACACTAAAATGTTAATGGTAGGACCTAGATGGTGAGTATATGACAGTTTACCACAATTTTTTTTTAACCTTCTGTATATTTGAAGTTTTCAAAATTAAATGCTGGGGTGGGGGTGGGGGAATCACTGACATAGAGGAACAAGAATTTTCTGCCTGGGTACACCAATTTTCAAGAGGCTGCTTCTCTCTCTACCTTTAGGCATCTCTCACCAACACTGCCCAGGAGAAGGAATCATTCTGATCCCCCTCAGTGCCTCAAGGCACCACCTACACAGATCAGGGAAGCTCAGACTTACTCCCTAAGAGAAGACTTCTCCTCATCACCACCCTCTTCTGAACACTAACTTCCAGTCTCCTTTTCCTCATTGACTTGAACTTACAGCACTTCCTTTTGTCTTCTACTGAGGAACTCTTTTTTCTTTTTTTTTTCCACTTGTGTAAGTCATGAGATATGTGTTCCTCAAACACGAGAGCCGTCAGCTTTAGCACAGTGACCAGCTTGCTTTTAACACATATATGAATGGTGCCTGCTCCCGTAGACATGGCAAACAGTGCACACTGCAGCTTGGGCTTCCATGGCGCTTAACTCTTGATCCCCAAGTAGGATCGTAGCCTTGGAGGTGGCTTGGTCATTCTCTCAGACAATCACTCAGAAAATCGTTTTGACTAATCACCTTCGTACTGGCTCTGACTGACCAACCACCCTTTGTACTGGCCACACTGACAAACCCATGGAGGGGATGAGAGTTTAAGTTCCGTTTGAGAATTGTCTTTCCTGGTTTCTCTCTTTAAGATTACAGTTAAGGATAGGTGCGATGCCTCACGCCTGTAATCCCAGCACTTTGGGAGGCCAAGGTGGGTGGATCACTTGAGGTCAGGAGTTTGAGACCAGCCTGGACAATATGGTGAAACCCCGTCTCTACTAAAAATATAAAAATTAGCCTGGTGTGGTGATGCACACCTGTAGTCCCAGCTACTCAGGCAGCTGAGGAAGGACAATCGCTTGAACCCAGGAGGAGAAGGTTGCAGTGAGCCAAGATCACACGACTGCACTCCAGACTCCAGCCTGGGTGACAGAGTAAATGAGACTCTGTCTCAAAAAAAAAAAAAAAAAAAAAAAAAAAAAAAAAAAAAAAAGGTGAGGCTCAATTAGCCGGCAATTGCCAGCAAAGCACAATACAGCCTCACTCTAACAGCCATACCATGGTGACTTATTAAGCAAAGCGGGTTCCTGGATTCTTCCTGAATCAGACCCAGCCAGGTCTGTTTACCTGAGGTCCTAATCTCTCATTGTGGGCTGAAAGATTATTTTAGCAGGTAGGAGCTAGAAAAAGTGTAACTGTACAACAAGGGCTGCTGAAGGTCAAGTTAATGCTTTTATATTTTTGGAGGATATAGCCCTGGTTAAGAGAGGTTAGCACAGAGAAGAGGGTAGTCTTATTTGAAAGCTTTCTCATTTTCTGCTTGCATCTGCAACATTTACACTCTAGCTTTCCAGCTAATTGCAAAAGCATTACGTGCTTGATACAGAATACTGGGAAAACACAGAAAAGCACAAAGCAAAAATATTAATAATAAAATTCACCTATCATTCCACCACTCAAGATAAGCACCAGTCTTTGACATATGTCATTTTGCCTTTGGATTGTTTTGATTACTGCCATGCACTACCCAGTTCTACACATAAGAATGAACTATTTGCTTTTTATTATTTCCTATTCAGAAAGTAGTCAAGGCAATTGAAGTTCCCAAAATGAGTATGTGCACGATTTCTATTGATTATAAAAGTAGTATAAAACTTTGTAAAAGATTCAAATAATTGAAAAATACACTGGCAGAAAAGCACGTCTCCCACAGTCCCACTCTATAGTGACATCATTAACAGATTGACAAATAGCTTTTCAGTTATTTCTGTTTATAAAACTACATGATTTTTATAAAAATGAGATTGTGAGGTATATATGGTTCTATAATTAGCCTGTGAATGGACATTAGATTATTTTAAATTCCCAGCTATTACAAATCTGCAATGACTATCTTTCAACCAAATTAAATTGCAAGTTACAAATATATTATTAGTCAGAATCCTGTTGGTTCTCCAGAGAGTCACAACCAACAGGATATAGACATATGAGAAGGAATTTATTAGAGGAATTGGCTCACACAATTATGGAGACTGTGAAGTCCCACAATAGGCCATTTGCAGGCTAGAGAACCAGGAAGTCTGTTAGCACGGCTCAGTCCAAGTCTGGAGGCCTGAGAACCAGGGAAGCTGATGGTGTAACTCTGGGTCTCAGACCAAAGGCCTGTGAACCTGCGGGGCCACTGGTGCCAGTCCCAGAGTCCAAAGGCTGGAGAATGTAGAGTTCTATTGTCCATGGCCAGGAGAAGAATGCAAAAATATATACTATCTTTGTACATGTGATTTAATTAAAATTTACATATTTAAAAGCAATAAATCTGCAGCTGCTTCTTCATAAAAAAAAATTTGGTGTATGTCTCTTTGCCTATTTTTTACCACCATCCTGCAAGACTATCCTGCTGAAAAGACGTACACCGCTATCCATCCACCATTTTACATTGCTACATGTCCCAGAAGAGTCTTAAGGCAATTAGACTAAGTATATGCTATGAATAGATTTCTTTTTAAATTTTAACAGCTTTAAATGACTTTTTCCTAAACCTGAAAAATATTTATCACATTGTGGAAATATACAGAAAAATAATTCAACTGACAACGTATAGGAAAGTAAAGTCGTAAGTAGAAATTTTTGTTATTTGGTGATATTGTAAGAACTGGGAGAAAGTAAATCCAAAGCAAGACATGTGCATGTGACTTCACTGTATTGAACAACTTATCCTCAGTAGGACAAAAGTTTTTCTTTATTCTGATTCCAAAAACCTTATTACAAACCTTTTATTGTTAAGTACTATTTCATATCTATTTTTAAATGATACAATGTATACAAACACAAATAGATAGTTAATAAGGCAATCTTGAAATTTATTAGGTGATTATATCTAAAAGTAGTCATACATTCTTTATATATTTATAATAATTACATGCCTTGTGTCTGTATCCTTGCAAATTTTTATACTGTCTCCAGGTAATTTATTTTATGGAATATTGCCATATGATATATTTCCCTTTCTCAGTGTCCTCAGGAACCCCTGAAATACAAAAGCACTCTTAACACACAGTTTTTTTAATTGGCAAAATAATGGAACTTAGAATGTTAGAATATTGTAATATTCGAAGAATGTTAGAATATTGTAATATTCGAAGAATGTTAGAATATTGTAATATTCGAAGAATGTTAGAATATTGTAATATTGGAAGTTCCATTTATTACACCGATTAAACAGTGTAGAATAACATTGAAGATGTAGATGTCATGCAGTCAAGTCTAAGTCTGCAAAGCCCATTCCCCTCCCTCCCAGGGCCATCATGGTCCCGAGTGGAATCCTAAGGTGACACCTGGAATGTGCCTGCCTCTGAGAGCAGCCTTTTGGCTCCCCAGGCCTCAGTTGCGTTCCTGGAATATGAGAAGTTGCTTGGAATTGCTTTTCCACAGCCTCTGTTGAACCTGTGTCTCTCTCTGTGGATTATGGCTCTGCTCCTTGGTTACTTCAATTTAGAATAGCTTTCTTTTCTAGGTTTGTTTTTTTTGAAATGGGGTCTTGCTCTGTTGTCCAGGCAATAGTGCAATAGTGCAATCATGACTCAACCTCCCAGGCTCAGGTGATCCTCCCACCTCAGCCTCTGGGGTAGTTGGGACTACAGGCACGCACAACTATCCTGACCAATTTCTTATTTTTGGTAGAGAGAGGGTCTCTTGATGTTACCCAGCCTTGTCTTGAACTCCTGGCTTCAAGAGATCCTCCTGCCTTTGCCTCCTAAAGGACTGGGTTACAGGTATGAGCCACCAGACCTTGCCTTATTTTCCAGGTTTTGAGAAGCTACAAGTGAGATAATTATTGCTGCCTGTCTAACCTATTCTCTTCCACACATTGCGGAGGTCACTGGAAGAAACAGTAAATCACAAACTCTTTTTCTTCTATCCATAACTTTTCCTGCCTCATTTAGAATTACCACTCTTGACAACAGGACCCCCCATTTTTGTCTATCACCTTATTAAATCTTCTGTCAAATTGCTTTATTTAAAACATTTTGCAAACTTAGAGAAACTCTGGTTATAACTAAAAATTGTAAGCTGACAGTCATTTTAACTGGTTGCTCTAAGAGGGTGGCAGAATTCCTCTTAAAGAGCAAACTGCTCTTTTGTTGGGAAAGCATTCAGTGGGCTTTTCTGAGTGTGGGGGTGGACCCCAGGAGAGTCTGGGTAGGAGAGGGTCAGCCTGAAAGAGAGCCAAGTTTCTCTGCACCATCAAGTCACAGGAATTTTGGAGTGGGTTCCACCCACCACTGCAGGGCTGAGGAAGGTCAGACCATGAGAGAGAGACATTGAAAACAAAAAGCTTTCTTAGAGTCCAGGGAGCAGGCCCCAGAAATACCCAGTTGAGAGTGCCACCAGTAAGGACTCCTCGAGGGGGAGACTTCAGAAAACTTTAGCAATAGTGTGACCAGGATTCAATTTTAAGTCAGTCCATGTTTTGTGCTATCATTCCTCTACATTGCTCATATAAAACAAGAAAATACAATAACACACTGCTAATCACAAGAGCATTATCATGAAGAAAAGGGTGGTGAGTCCATATTTTGAAGCAAAGCAAACTAGAATGGGCTGGGGCAGCCTGGAAAGGCAGTGGGCAGATGGAGGGAAGAAATTGAAAAAGTCAGGAGCAAGAGAAAAATGGGAAGAACCAAGTCTCAACTCTAGAATCTGCTGGAAAATTGAAGAACACGTTAGACTTCCCACAATTTAGGGGATGGCTGTTAAAGAAAAGGATGGCCTCAGAAGGACAGAAGAGTTAAGGACTTTGGGGTTTTATGGATAATCCTTATATGAAACATTACATGTTTTTTTCACTGCTTAAACAACAGACTTCAGCAATGATGTATGTCAGAGAAATGGGCACAGAAAGTGAGGAAGGACTGTGTGCCTGCAGTTTGTCCCATTAAATTGTGGCAATGAAGGCAGGAAGCCTCGTGTATATTCACATATAATAGTAATAAGAAAAAGATCAACAGAAAGTGATTATGCAACATTCAACATTTTTGCGGTACCCAAAGACTTCATTGAGTTGATTCATCTTAATATTGTCATTTTGATACAAAATATCTTTGCAGGATATTTGTAGGCACAGCTACCCCAAATCCCATTTGCATTAATCTAAAACAGACTTGCAGGCCCAGTTCCAGAAATTCCTTGGGCAAGTCCATAACGCACATTCACCGTCAGGCATGAAGGAATAGCTTATCCAGCAGAAATATCGGAGGCCAGGCCCCAGTACAAACTCCTTCAGACTTCTCAGTACTCAAGACATCTCAAGTTTTTGAAGAGTAAAGTATAAAATACTGGCAGGGGTGGGTAGGGGGAACAGGATAAATTGGTGATGGCCCAGAAAAAATATCCAGGGGGATCGCATTTTTCTTCTCCAAAGCAAAACAGAATTCATAACTGAAAGAGGAATAGAGAAAGAGGAAAAAAGTGATCTGGGACCTGTTGTTTTTCTTGCATCCCATTTCTACTCTGCCTGTGAGTGAAGACTGTTGTGGAAAAGTCAACTGGAGAGACCAGGTCAAAGGCCAAGCAGAAGAGGAATTAGGCTTAAGACTGCACTGAGAGGGAACACTAGACCATGGTGGTAAGTGTTCTTGTTGCATCTGTTGGTCTTTCATTAAATAATGGCATTTCAGCTGGGTTGTAGCCTCCTTAGCTCTCACTCATTGCATCTTTGATGTTTCACCCAAAGGTATAATTATATTGCATTAGTATACTGTTTTGGCCTCTGAAAACCTTAATATTGCTCTCTGGAGAAAGGACAGTTTAATCACTCACATGACATTATGTACATATGTATGTATTTGTATCGTTTTCTTAACTGAAAGTCCTTCTCCCACCTCCTTGACACTCCCAAACTGCTATTTGCTACCCACATTTGTCTTCTGTTGTTGGTTCTTTTCTTTCTACATGAATTTAATACACTTATGGGAATAAAGCTCTTTCTGAAATTGGGAGAAGCCCTCCCAAGTTGTCATCCCAGTTGCCAACTTGGAAACCTGTTTAATTCTGGAAGAAAACCACAACAATCATGTCTCATTTTGGAAAGTATCTTTCAGAGGACATAATCAAAGCAAATTACAAATACAAATTTCTAACTAGGTTTTCTTAGTGTTCAATGAAGTTACTCCAGTGATCCCAAAGACAAGTTAAATATAGCTGTAGGCCCAAGATCATAGAGTTAATTGGTAGATAAGTCATAACTCTAAGGAGTGGGTTCTTCCTCCTTTCTTTCTGTATCCAGCAAATGACTTAATAATTTATAAAACTACATGCTTCTGTCGGGCATATCGGGCATTTTGCTAGGCATAGCCTATATGATTTTAAGCCACATGAACTTTTGAGTTTTTGCAACTGGCTGGGACCTATTTTATGACATTTCATAGAAAGTGCTGTGGTTCTTATGTTCTTCCCAACGTGGAAATGTGATTTCAGGTAGGGTTGAAATCAAGATACTGACTCCTGAACTTCCATCTCTAACCATAATGGGATGACTGATACTGTACTAGCCCAAAACTACTCTAAAACGGGACAGAATATGTGAAGCATCCGATTTCAGGCAGTGGATAACAAGCACTGTAAGGCTGTGCTCCTTGAGAGAAGGGAAGTGCATGAGGTAAGCTACATGATTGCCTCAGCTCTGTGCCTGGAGACAATTTCCTGACCATGGTACAGAGACCTGGAGTCTGAGCAGAGCATGGCAGTCCTGTTGAGCTGGGGAGGCAGACATCAGCGTTCAGGGTAACTGAAGCAAGTAGAAACTATGGAGCCTGAATGGAGGGAGCTATGTAGAGAGAGAGGACCCCAGAATCCAGCAGGGATCTCCTGCAAATCAGTGACTGAGAGTTGGATTGTACATGTGCAGTGTGAGGCGACCCGAGCTTTACTAGATGTCAGATGCTATGCAGTTGAAAGTGGAACCAAGATTCTAGAGGTTGAGCAGTGCTTGGGGAAAAGCAGTGGCAGAGATGTCAGAGTTCTGGCCCTGCCAGAGAGGAGAGATTTATTAACATCTTGTTAAAACTCCTGACATCCAGCTCTGAGACACCACAAAGTGCACATATTAGGATTAAGGAATATGCCCCTTGAGAAAGACCAACTCTAGACTCACCCCAACAAAGCCTGAAACCAAACCCCGACAAGATTTATACAGGAGACACAGTTTGGAAAGTGACTACTGAAAGGTTAGAAGATCTTGAAAACACCTTGGACTGTCCACAGATCTATACTAGCAATGCAAAACACTAAGTCTACACAAGTTAAAGTAATAAGCCATTAAATGAACTGCCACCTCAAATATGAAACAACCATTTTTAGAGGAAGACTACAGAATCTAGACTATCTACAGTGTGTTGTCCACAGTGTTCACTATTTAATCACTAGACATACAAATAAAAATCACATTAAAAGACTCAAAAATATGATCTTAATGAGTAATCAAATGGAAAACAGCAGATAAATGGAAACTACAAATACAACTATATGAACATTCTAGAACTGAAAAGTATAGTAACTGAAATAAAAATTGAGCCTAACAGCAGATCAGACTTAACATAGAGAGTCAATGAACTTAGATACAAACCAATAGACATGCCTGAATCTGGAGAGTAGAGAGAAGAAAAATAAGCAGAGTTTCAAGGAGATAATATCAAGCAGCCTAGCTTACAGGTAATTGAGTCCTAGTAGAAGAAAATAATTTGAGGCAAAAATAATTGGAAGAAATCATGGCCCCGAACTCCCCACATTTGAAGAGAAACACTGACTTACACATATAAGAATTTCAACGAACCCACACGGGACACATACAAGGAAATCTGCACCTAGGCACGTTAGAGCTAAACTGCTGAAAACCAAGATAAAGAAAAAAAATCTTAAAAGCAGCCAAAGAGAAAAAAAAGGTACTTTATATACAATGGGACAAAAACAAGAATGATCACTTACTTCTCATCAGAAACAATGGAGTCCAGAAGACAATGAAATGACTTTCTTAAAGTACTGAAAGAAAAAACTGTCATCTCAGTTTTATATCCAGCAGAAAGAGCCTCCGTAAACAAGAGTTAAATAAAGACATTTGCTGAAGAATAACAGCTGAGAGAATTCGTTTCCAGCCTGCCTGCACTGCCTGAAAGATGTCTTTCAGGTGAAAGAGAAATTTAAATCTCCAAGATCAAAGGGCACCAGGAATGTTAAATAAGATAGGCAGCATCTTCATCAGAAACATGAACAGTTTTAGACAAACGTCTTCAGGACTGTGCTGAAGATAGATATCATTATAGAACTGAAGTTCCTATAGACTTAATTTCAAGTCACTTCTACCTAAGAGTTAACTGTCTTAATATTTGGCCCTTGTAAGTAGAATGGTGCTGAGAGTTAGCTAAAAGTTTTTTAAATTAAAGCATTCTTTTCCAAGGTTGTCTGGAAATTTGACATTTAATTCAGCATTGAATGTGAACAGCTCAGAGTCTAGTCTCAGAGCTCCGAGCTACTTTTCCTTTGTCCAAAAGAGGGCTATGATTCAGAGTTACAGTGTTGATTGCCTCTACCAGTACTTAGTGAAAGAGTCTGACTCATCTAATATGTGTAGAGTTTTACACTACCCATCTCTGTACATTTTTTAAAATTCTTCTATATACTTTAAATAGTCATGAAATGTTTTAACTCATAAAAAAGAAATGTAGGAACTACTACAGAAATAGATTTCCTGTAATATGTATTCAGATTTGAGTTACTGCCTTTAAATACCTAATTTTGCTATAAATAGATAGCACAAGACTAATTAAAGTTTATCTGCGGAATCTGATAAAAGGGCCTACTATTTCTTTTGTTGCCTTTGTTCTGGTAATTCCAGAATAATTTTTTCTATTCTGGCAGAAAAAGATAGGTGAGAACCTAAGAACTACTTTATTAAGTATATAACCAATACTTAAAAAAAAAACAAAGCAAGTTTTAAGTTTTTATGTTAACAAGAGCCAATTACTTTATGATCACAGAGGTATTTTGCAGCTAAAACAAATCAAAACCAAATGTCATAAATTCAGAGGGCTGGGAGGCTTTTTGAGATGGGAGAATGTAATAATTGACAGAAATCCTAAGTTACTGGGAATCTGTGCTTGGGGAGAGTGAGGAGGAGACTGCATTAGACCAACCAGACAATGGGGCTTGAAAAACTGAGCACTGGAAATGGATGGGATACATGGGTCATAAATCAGGAAATCAAAATGCATAGTTTGAGACACTATAAATGCAGTATTTAAAATGTAGTACTTAAAGTTGGAAGGCTATGGGGAGATCATTTGAAAACAAGGAACATTAGGCAAATGTTCAGAATTGAGGAGGGAGGATAAGAAACCTCTTCAGATATTTCTATAATTTTCTATAAATTTCTAGTGGCTCTGGTAGTTAGAGTTATTTACATATTTTTATGCTCTAGAAATTAAATGATACCATTTTTTATTTTCCTGTTAATTTAAGAAAAGAACTAATCAAAGATCATTAGAAAATTTTTGAGCTAGACACTGATACAAATTTTTAAATTCTAATTACTAAAGATCAAAATTAAAATCCTATATTTTTAGTTGGCAGAGTAGATGAGCACAATAAATAGCTAATACATTTTCATGGGCTTTTACATTAACTAAAAATTCTAAAAACTGTCTAACCTTCTATAGTTTTTAATATATTTACATGTCCAACCCAACCCCTGGAAGCCCACTAAAACACAAATTCAGATTGCAATCCAGCTACAATGCAAGCCAGGCACAAAAGCCTTCTAATGATCTTTGATTAGTTCTTTATTAAATTCATCAAGGAAGCAAAGAAAATTTAATAATCTTCACTAGTTGTCATCTTTCTGATTAGAGGTTTGATTAGAAGTTTCAGCTTTTATTTTTCTCCTTGCCAGCCTTTGCCAGAGCTTTGCTATTGCTTCTAGTTGGAGAGAAAGAACAAGGCAGATGGGAAAGGTTAAATAACCCATGTTTGCAGAACATGCTAAATACACCCCACATTTGCTAATATTCCCTGGGTATGGTCATCTATGTCAAGAGCTTATTGAGGGAGAAGGTCAGTAGATCTCTAAGTATCCCCTCCCACCACCTAGCCAGCCTCCTCATGTGGCAAAACGTTTCTTAAACAGACCTTCTGCTTTTACAAGCTTCTTGTCGAGGAATGCATCTTGCTTGCCTTTGATAGTTATTTTCCCCCGGGGTTGAAACTGATTTTTTCCCTATCTTGTTAAATTTACAAATACTGTACACATTTCACACATGAAAGCAATGGGATTATAGAAGCTACCATCCATAGGTATTTGAGAAATGCCCAATTAGATTGTTCAGAATAAAGGGCTCTGAAAGCTCACTCAGTCTCAAATGAAAGGAGTGAGAAGAACAATAATGATGTTTACATTTTTCTTCCTCATACAGCGTATGGGAGAATAATGACATTCAGATTTCAGTATAGCACATTTCTTCCTAGTATTCACAAATATCGCCTCAATTATTTTTCTGCCACTGCTGAAAAGTAGGAAATGTGTAGCTATTATCTCCATGTCCCATTATATTATATCATGCTATTTTAGTATCTGCTACCTCAAAAGAATGGCAGCTAGATAGTGTGTTTATAATCGCACTCAATCACCATTAGACCTCAGCATTGGAAAGAGATAATAGGAAAGAAGGTAAAAAGAAATAATAAAAATGCAAACATGGGAAATTCTTAACCTACAGAAGGATTATGTTCCAAACGTTCATTTATCAGGCTATTGTTTAGAACTCAAAAATCTATATTTCCACAGAAACAATATTATAATTGGTAGTTAAGTTCCTAGGATAGCCCATCACAGCCAATTTATTTATGTAGTTGAAAATACAAGTACTACAAAAATTACAGTAGCAGAAAGCTATTAAGTTAGAAATATATGGTATTTTAACTACATACAAGGTTAAATCGCTTTTTTCAAACTAACCTAGTAGGCAAATGTATCTACATAGCCTCAAGTCAGTACTTCACACACTGGCAATGCTGATGCTGTGCCAACCGCCCAGGGTCTGGGACACTCAAAACCACAGGATCCTCAGAAGGAACTGTCTAAAAGTCCAACAAATAGGTCACTTGCCCCTTTATTTCCTAGACCACACTAGACATTGGCAACCTGGGAAAGGGCAACTTGGTGTTAAAAAAATTTTTGAGTCCAGGATCCCAGAGGAAGTTCTCCTTCTCACTTCAAGTATGGTACAGGTTGCTGATTCAAATGGCACTTTCCGGTGAATTAATTAAACTCTAGGTTATTTTCAAAATATGCTGGGCACACACAACATGCCAGGCACCACAATGCTGAATAGAATACTAAAAATATTAATTTTGAGCTCTGGCATGCTTACAGTAATATAAAGAACATGTGAAAAAATATGGTATATAGTACAGTAGGAGTAGGGTATATTTAAGGAATGTCAAAACCAATGTTTAGTTTCAACGCCAATGAGCAAATGAAAATCTTAAAGGAACTGGTTGATTCAATTGTTAAACTAATTGGAGTTCTTGTTCAGAATACTGAATTGAGGTTATTCTTTCCTTATTGCTACTGAGAAATCGGTTTGAACTCATTCATTCTCTTTCACAGGAAAGAAGGTAAAAAGAAATAATGCGAACATGGGAAATTCTTAACCTACAGAAGATATTTATTAATATTTATTTATAAATATTTTTAATTATAAAAATACTTTCTATTTGCAAGCAAGAACATAGGTACACATTTCCAAAATGAAACAAACATAGATGATACCCTCTCCCAGCATCAGAAAATGTCTAGCCTTTTGAAAACACAAACGTAAAGCTGAACATCTCAAAGAACACTGCCCATTTCCCAGGGCACACATGGTTATTTCCAGACACAGTTCAACGTTCTAGAGCTTATGGTCCTAGATTTTTTGCATGTCTCTATTACAGCACTTAATACATAGTACCATAAGTATTTATTGTAAATCTAATTCATCCGCTTTCCTTTGAGCTCTTAAAAGGCAAGGATTGTTGTATCTTCTGTCCCTTGCATAGTGCCTGGACCACAGCAGGAGGTCAATATGTGTAAGAAAAGTGGCAATGTTCTTCCCCAACTCCTTGTTTCCTTCCATGGACATAGAGCTCTACCAGCTGCTTTTCCTCTCCTAGCTCTTCTATTTCATTTCTCATTTTGTACAGAAACTGGGAGGACAAAGAGGTACTGCTTATTGTTCCCCTAAACACAACCAGATTGATAGGTAGAAAGATGAATTGCAACACATAAATTAACTGGCCCTACATCCCTACTTCCCATTTAAATTGCCATTGAATATATAATCACCAACTAGAGAAAGAGAGCAAACACTGCTAAACTTCAAAAAGCTATCCTTGTCAAAGTGGTTGCCAGAAATAGACAGTTTGGGAGATTCTGATTGTACCTGAATCCATTTTCTCCATTCTCTCTCAAAGGTATTTGTGTACTTACACAGATACACACACAACCATACTCATCAGAGATCTGAGACACCACGAATAATGGTAATGCGTATTCATAAATGTTTTTTAGAGTGTATCATTTATGTAATCGACATAAATAGAACTTTGAGAGCTATTCTTAATATTACAATTATATATTTAGGACACATTTTCCATAGATTTAAAAATTTAAAAAAAAATTTAAGGCAGTATGTTTGTCCCACAGCTGAGTTTTAAAATTTTGCCTCCCATATTGAATGTGTAAATTTGGAAGATCTCTGACTGAATCAAGTAGCAGGTTTGGTCCCCTCTAGTACTAACCCAGTTATGGGATTTAAGAGAGTTTTTTTTTAATGTCTCTATAATTTCTCTTAATGTGTAAAATAAAGGGGTCAACCAGACAGTCTCTTAGATCTCTGTTTAAACTCTGAAGTTTTAAATTCTAATAATTGCATTTTTTGGTGCTGTTCTAAGCTATTCTTAAAATCTTTCTAGCCAGGCACAGTGGTTCATCCCTGTAATCCAAACTACTCAGGAGGCCAAGGACAAAGGATGGCTTGAGGCCAGGAGTTTGAGACCAACTTGGGCAAAACAGCAAGATCACCATCTCTAAACAAAAAAATGTTTTAAGTTAGCCAGGCATAGTGTCAGGTACTTGCAGTTCCAGCTATTTGGGAGGCTGAGGTGGGAGGATTACTTAAGCCCAGGAGTTTGAGGCTGCAGTGAGCTATGATCCTGCCACTGCACTACAGCCTGGGTGACAGAGCAAGGCCCCATCTCTAAATAAGTAAATTTTTATTAAAAACCTTTCTTTCTCTGTTTCCTTTCTTTTTAAATCTGAGTTTCTGCTTCTATTATTTCACTCCAGTGGACAGTACTCTAGTTATGCTACAAAGAAGAATACAGTAGACAGCATAACTAGAATCCTTCCAACCTTAACTAGCTGGAAGGATTCTAACTCCAGCATATAATTAGAGTAATAGCAAAGTATTTCTGCAGCCACACAAAAAGTAGAATATATATATATATATATATATATATATATATATATATTCAGAATCAATAGTTTAAACTCCCAATAATGGGTTTTAATGGAATGCAAAGGCATAATGTTTTATTAACGAGAGGGTGTTGTTTAGGTAAAGATCATGGAAATGGAACTAGAAAGTGGTAGTTAATTCCATTTTCTAGAACACAGACAACACACATGAAACTAGCTTGACGAAAAAGTGGCCTATTCAGCCAAAGTCATATAGAGAAAATATCAAGATAGAAAATAAGCCATTCAGCAGCAACAGTTCTGAGCATCAGGAGCAACAATATTATTGGCAAGAGCTTTCCCTTCAAGCTACCAGCATCACTGGACTTCAAAAGGATTGCAATTCACATGCCTGGGAACGTGCAGGCCAACAGCAGGGGAGGGAGGGGGTGTCTTTTTGTGAGAAAGCATGAAATTTTTCTAAGGTACATTATAAAATGGCTTGGCAGAAGCTTGGTGTGTAAATACCAAGGTTAGCATATTCTTTGTTGTAGCTCTACAGAACGTTAAGCACTGTATTTTTTAAATCTTAACATTTTAGAGTGCTTAAAATGAGTACTGTTCCCATTTAATTGGAGCGTTTTTTCCCCTCTGACGGGCAGACTATGAGGTTTCCTAAGTGCTTTCCCTAAGTCCAGAATCAAAGAGATTTGATTGGTTCTTTCCTTCACCAGCTTATTTTATTGTGTTGGATGATGACTTGGCTTTTCATGTAACCCTGAGAGAGAGGGATTTGTTTACGCTCCCCTGGGCTTTGGGAGGGGACTGAGGTCTTTGAGGAAGAAGGCAGCTTTGGATAACATCGAGAACTAGGATTTGGTGGTGAAGTTGTATAATGAGACCACATTCTACCCAGGACTGAACATGACTATCGAAGCCAACCTACTCAGAGCATTTGATACAGAAGTTAAAATGGGTTCAGTCTTCTTTGTAAATAAAATTGTATGTTTTTCCTTGTGGCTGTGGGGTCCCAGTTAGAATAAGCTGTTTATAATGACATAAATAACCATGGCATCTCTAGAAGTTATGCATCAACGTCTTTTCACCAGTGTGCAGAGAAAGGGAAAAAAAACCTAACAGAGGAAATGGGCCAGCTAGCTTCCTGCATTCCCAGTCATTTATTAGAAAATAATTAAGATTTCATCATAAAATAAGTTGGTGAAACAGAAATAGGATTAATCATCTGCAAAGAGGAGAAAAAGTACTGAAATAAGTTTGCACTCACTATTGCTGGGTTTAAAATGGTTTCTCTTTTACAAATGTGCTTGTTCTAACATCCAGAAAGTTGACCTTCTCGGCCATAGAACTAATTAGCCATGAAAGTCATTCTATCCCAGAGAGAGAAAGATTATGGTATAGCCTCTATCATCCACCTTAGAATTCATGGCTAGAGTGTCTGAATTACCTGTCCTAACCTGATTTGTTGGTCGCTATAAAGTTCAGATGGTGTTTTCCTTAGTGATTATAAGAACTCTATTAGGAGAACTGCACTTTTAACCTTCCAGTGCAGGCCAACTATATTTAGAGTTTTGTCTGCTAATGCTTCAACCCTTTAATAGAAGTGAGCAAAAATTTAGAAAGAAAACCACCAAACATTGGCAATCCCTGCACAGTTGTTTCACGATATTCACTATTAGGCAAGATCTATATTATCATACCTTCTATTTCTGCCTGACACATGAATATGACTGTTAAAACCAAAGATAAAGGTACATTCCCTAGCAACCACAGAGAGATTTCTGGGACAACTGTAACAATAAAGGAAATATCTCCCAGACATATTAAGTGCAAAAAGCTGGATGTAGCACAACATATATGATGTGAGTCTATTGATTAAAAAACCAAGAGTATGTATATGTTTCAGTCTGGAAGGACACATATCAGACACCCTGCTTAGAAAGGATATTTTTGCTTTGTCTGGAATATTTGAACTTTTTATAAAGGAAATCTATTAGTGTGTTTTCACTTAAAACAATTTAAAACATATAGCACTAAAAATTCAGACGTAGTTGAGCCTTAATTTAATAACTTACACATATTTCACTCTGCTAGGAATATGTTTCGTCCTTACGTTCTCTGTAGCGTATTTTATTAAAAAGTCATCAAGGACTTAAGACTTATCTGAAGACAGAGGAAGCGTGTGAGCAAGCTGTTGCTGTAGCGTGCCTAGAATACTTTCACATATTACTTAGCATGAAATCCTGCACACAATAGCCATCGGGTGGATGGACAGACAGGTGGACGGATGGACAAAACAATATGAAGACTTTTGAACTGATCATTAATCCTGGCTGACTGATAAGAGAAGCATGTAAGCACTCTAGAAGGACAGTTCTTTCGGGTAATTTTTATTTTGCAGTAAGTTTAGAATTGCTAGTTTTTATAATGCCTCTGACTGTATTTAAAAGAGAACTTCTCATCCTGTTCACTGACAGCTTTTCAATAAAATTTGATATATACCATGAATCACAAAACCGCTAAGCAAGTTTTCAAATGCAGTTTCAAAAAGCCCTAACAAAATTGTACTTGCCTCGCCAAATGTGAAAGTTCCTCCCACGGCTTCTTCTACTGCCCTAAATCATTAGTTTCATTATCGTCCTGAAGCAGATATTCCAAGACACCACCAATTCCTACAAAAAAAAAAAAAAAAAAGGAAAAATAAATAGATCAGGAAATACCCATCTATCTGTTTCATTAACTTCCTTAGCTGAAACTACAGTTGAGTTAAAGGAAAGGTGATTGGTTAAAATATCTAAAACGCTAATTTAAAAAATACCTGCGATATCATCTCTCTTTTTGACCCATCCTTAAATTTAACTGCTTTTTTTTTTTATAGATTGCAAACAAGGGATTTATTTTTAACTCTCAATCTGTTGTCATTATGCTGGGGGTAAATAAATGAGGGCAATGGTCAAAGTGAAAATAATCTCATAGAGAAACAGACAGAGATGGAGAGAGAATGTGCCTTTAAATCACCAGAGAGGCCATAGAGGTAGAAAGAACATAGGACAAACATAGCCAGGTCCTAACCTTAGGGGAGGGACAGCTGTGCTTGGCTTGATGGGGCAAGCACACTTACCTGTTCTAAGTGTCGCATATTCTTTTTTCCTGCTTCCTCTAATGTCTTTTCATCATGGTCTTAACATTGTCTTATAAACTGCTCTATCTACTGCTCACACCTCCACTTCCAGTCTTCTGACTGCACGTGGGGAGAGGGCAAAAATGACTTGAGATGGGCGAGATGGGCCGAGAATGATGGGATCCTGGAGAATATTCACTCGTCAGCTGTGAGAAGTAGTCAATGGACCACTGCGGCTCTTTATTTGCATAATGAGGTTATTCCCCCGGATACCCCCAGGTTACTTCCAGGTCTAACATTTGATATTTTCATCCCTTTTGGTCAAAGATATGACACTGCCTGGGGAAATTAAGTGTCCTATGACATTAACTTGACATTAAGTAGTAGGAATTAACAAAGATATCACCGTTACAAAGATATATTACATTGTTACAAAGATACATATAGCAAAGACATATTAATAAAGATATCATTTTCTGTTAATGTTCTACAGGAATCTCTTCCTTCCAGTGTATTTATATTGTAAAAATGGTTCTGATGTCTCCTGGCAGCAATGCAGAACTACAATGTAAAGGGATGGGGACATAGAGGTCAGTGGGGAAATGTACAGGTTGTAGTATCCAGTGTTTTCAAATTATCTGTCTATGTATGAAAACTGAGAATCTGTAAATGTCCAAGTACGGATAGTTGTTTTATAAAAAATAAAAAATAGTTCTAACTTTAATACATTTAAGACGTTTTCCTGGAAAATTTTCTAATTTAGCATGATGAAAAGAATGACTGGTTTTTAAAGTGCAGTTGAACAGGCAAATTCCCTTTATAAGAAAATAACACATAAATGCAAGGATTACAACTTTGAAATTGCTTGAAATCTTTTCTACCAGTGAACACTGAAATTTGTATCTATTTATATTACCATCTTTCAACAAATGCTTTAACCTTAGTATTTTATAGCCCCTTCCTTTATATTCTCCTAAGTAAAAACTCTAATTTTGTGGCAAACATTTAGTGAAATATGATTTATCTCACCTATTTCATTCTATCCATATGGCTTCTAAGTCTTGAGAGTACAGGTGGAAACTGTCCGTAGCAAATTGTTCCTGTCATAGTTTCCCGAATATTTCAGTCTTCAATTAACCATAGTTTAAATTAGTCAGAACATCCAGGAAGCGAACACTGGTGAGAGTGAATGAGGCAGAAAATTTGATTGTGTTATACATGAAATTCAGCTATTCAGTGAAATTCTCCAAATGTTGTAATTCTGCTGTCCTGATTACAATTATTTCATCTATGTGGTGCATATATATTTTAATCTTCTCCTGACACCGTCTGTTGTTATAAATGAATTTGTCTTCCCAGCTATTCACAAACGCATTTGCATTATTGAGGTCATGTCTGACTATAGGTCTTGGTTCCATGATTTAAACAATACTTAATCTTACCTCCTGGGATTATTTTTGCATTAGATGATAATTGATTGGAAATCCACTGACAAAGTATAAAGATATCATTTTCTGTTAATGAGCTTGACAAAGGAGGATTCGTGCCGTTCTATTTTAAAAAGAAACATTTCTTGACCTTGAATATAGGACTAAAATGACCTTATATCACAAAACATTCACAATAGAATGTTAGTTAAGCTTAACGGTTTTCTGGCAAAAGCCCTTCTAGATACGTGCAGAATTCCTGTAAAATCGGGTTCTAAACATGTTTTCAGCCCATGTGGTCCTGACCTCTGGAAGTTAGTCCACTTATATTCTACATTCAGATTTTCTTTTATATTTTTCTTTTTTCCTCCCTTCCTTTCTTCCTCCCTCCCTCTCTCCTTCCTTTCTTTAGTTCCTTAATGTATTTCTTTGTTCTTTTTTTTTCCTCCATGGTGTCTAGTTGCTTTTTCCAATTTCCATTGTTAAGGCTGGATTCCATAGGAAATAAAGGTGAGAAGAGGTAAAAAATATTGTACCTTGGGGGAGTGCAGAGAAGATGTGGGAGCAGTGACATATTTTTTAGTGTCTCCTTTTAATTAATTTCTCCCCATTTATGCTTATTTTATTCTTTTCAAAATTTTTAAAGTTTGTTATTGTTTTTAGAGATGGACTCTTGCTATATTGCCCCAGCTGGCTTCAGACCCCTAGGCTCAAGTAATCCTCCTGCCTCAGCCTTCTATGTAGGTGTGTACCACCTACCATGGCTATTTTTTTTTTCACTTAATTTATATAACAGAACCTGAGACAAGTACTCTTGCTTCAGATTTTAACCTTGCTTTATTTTTCAGTTCTTAAGCAGCTATTATGTAAAGATAGCTAAAATTTTCTTCAAAAAGAAAAAAGACTACCATCCATTTTTGTTTTTATGGAAATTTTGGAAAGCTTAAAAACACTTCCGTTGAAGAGAACTGACACCATATAAGCATGTGGTCTCAAGTCAATACCTGGAGGTTCCCAGTACCAGTGCAAACTCCATTACTGATGGAATCATGGCAAGGTTTTGAAAATCACTTATTTTCTTAGCATTTTCCCCTAAATCAGGAACGATGATAACATCCTCTCCACAAAACTACAAGGTAATCTATCATGGACTGACTCTCTAAAAATATAAATCCTGGATTGCAGGCAAAATGGCCGAATAGGAGCAGCTCCAGTCTACAGCTCCCAGGGAGATTAATGCAAAAGGTAAGTGATTTCTGCATTTCCAACTGAGGTACCCAGTTAATCTCATTGGGACTGGTGAGACAGTGGGTGCAGCCCACGGAGGGCGAGCCAAAGCAGGGTGGGGCGTCGCCTCACCCAGGAAGCGCACGGGGTCGGGGAACTCCCTCCCCTAGCCAAGGGAAGCCCAGAGGGACTGTGCCATGAGGAAGGGTGCACTTTGACCCAGATACTATGCTTTTCCATAGTCTTTCCAACCCGCAGACCAGGAGATTCCCTCCAGTGCCTACACCACAAGGGACCTAGGTTTCAAGCACAAAACCGGGCAGCCATTTAGGCAGACACTGAGCTGGCTGCAGGAGTTTTTTTTTTTTTTTTTTTTTTTTTTTCCATACCCCAGCAGCTCCTGGAACGCCAGTGAGACAGAACTGTTCACTCCCCTGGAAAGAGGGCTGAAGCCAGGGAGCCAAGTTGTCTTGCTCAGCCGATCCCACCCCCACAGAGTCCAGCAAGCTAACATCCACTGGCTTGAAATTCTCAGTGCCAGCACAGCAGTCTGAAGTTGACCTGGGACACTCGAGCTTGGTGAGGGGAGGGGCATCTGCCATTACTGAGGTGTGAGTAGGCGGTTTTACCCTCACGGTGTAAACAAAGCTGCCAGCAAGTTCGAACTTGGAGACGCCCACCGCAGCTCCGCAAAGCCACTGCAGCCAGACTGCGTCTCCAGATTTCTCCTCTCTGGGCAGGGCATCTCTGAAAGAAAGGCAGCAGCCCAAATCAGCGGCTCATAACCCTGGGACAGGGCACGTGGGGGAAGGGGTGGTTGCGGGTGCAACTTCAGCAGACTTAAATGTGCCTACCTGATGGCTCTGAAGAAAGCAGTGGATCTTCCAGCACAGCGTTCAAGCTCTGCTAAGGGTCAGACTGCCTCCTCAAATGGGTCCCTGACCCCCATGTCTCCTGACTGAGAGACACCTCCCAGCCGGGGTGGACAGACACTTCATACAGGAGAGCTCCAGCTGGCATCTGGCGGGTGCCCCTCTGGGACAAAGCTTCCAGAGGAAGGAACAGGCAGCAATCTTTACTGTTCTGTAGCCTCTACTGGAGATACCCAGGCAACAGGGGCCTGGAGTGGACCTCCAGCAAACTCCAGCAGACCTGCAGCAGAGTGGTCTGTCAGAAGGAAAACTAACAAACAGAAAGAAATAGCATCAACATCAACAAAAAGGATGTCCAGACACAGAAAACCCCATCCAAAAGTCACCAGCATCAAAGACCAAAGGTAGATAAATCCACAAAGATGAGGAAAAACCAGCACAAAAAGACTGAAAATTTCTAACACCAGAATGCCTCACCTCCTCCAAAGGATCACAACTCCTCGCCAGCAAGGGAACAAAAGCAGACAGAGAATGAGCTTGACAAATTGACAGAAATAGGCTTCAGAAGGTGGGTAATAACAAACTCCTCGAAGCTAAAGGACCATGTTCTAACCCAATGCAAGGAAGCTAAGAACCTTGAAAAAAGATTAGACTAATTGCTAACTAGAATAACCAGTTTAGAGAAGAACATAAATGACATGATGGAGCTGAAAAACACAGCACGAGAACTTCATGAAGCATACACAAGTATCAATAGCTGAATCAAGTGGAAGAAAGATATCACAGATTGAAGATCAACTTAATGAAATAAAGCATGAAGACAAAATTAAAGAAAAAAGAATAAAAAGGAATGAACAAAGCCTCCAAGAAATATGGGACTATATGAAAAGACCAAATCTATGTCTGATTGGCATACCTGAAAGTGATGGGGAGAATAAAACCAAGTTGGAAAACACTCTTCAGGATATTATCCAGGAGAACTCCCCCAACCTAGCAAGACAGGCCAACATTCAAATTCAGGAAATACAGAGAACACCACAAAGATACTCTTCAAGAAGAGCAACCCCCAAGACATATAATTGTCAGATTCACCAAGGTTGAAATGAAGGAAAAAATCTTAAGGCAGCCAGAGAGAAAGGTCAGGTTACCTACAAAGGGAAGCCCATCAGACTAAAAGTGGATGTCTTGGCAGAAACCCTACAAACCAGAAGAGAGTGGGGGCCAATATTCAACATTCTTAAAATAATTTTCAACCCAGAATTTCATATCTAGCCAAACTAAGCTTCGTAAATGAAGGAGACATAAAATCCTTTACAGACAAGCAAATGCTGAGAGATTTTGTCACCACCAGGTCTGCCTTACAAGAGCTCCTGAAGGAAGTACAAAACATGATAAGGAACAACAGATACCAGCCACTGCAAAAACATACCAAATAGTAAAGACCATCGACACTATGAAGAAACTGCATCAATTAATGGGCAAAATAACCAGCTAGCATCATAATGACAGGATCAAATTCACACATAACAATATTAACCTTAAATGTAAATGGACTAAATGCCCCAATTAAAAGACACAGACTGGCAAATTGGATAAAGAGTCAAGACCCATCAGTGTGCTGTATTCAGGAGACTCATCACACATGCAAAGACACACATAGGCTCAAAATAAAGAGATGGAGGAATATTTGCCAAGCAAATGGAGAGCAAAAACAAAAGCAGGGCTTGCAATCCTAGTCTCTGATAAAACAGACTTTAAACCAATAAAGATCAAAAGAGACAAAGAAGGCCATTACATAATGGTAAAGGGATCAATTCAACAAGAAGAGCTAACTATCCTAAATATATATGCACCCAGTACAGAAGCACCCAGATTCATAAAGCAAGTCCTTAGAGACCTACAAAGAGACTTAGACTCCCACACAATAATAGTGGGAGACTAACACTGTCAATATTAGACAGGAATATTAACAAGGATATTCAGGACTTTAACTCAGCTCTGGACCAAGCAGAACTAACAGACATCTACAGAACTCTCCACCCCAAATCAACAGAATATACATTCTTCTCAGCATCACATAGCACTTATTCTAAAAGTGACCACATAATTAGAAGTAAAACACTCCTCAGCAAATGCAAAAGAATGGAAATCATAACAAACAATATCTCATACCACAGTGCAATCAAATTAGAACTCAGGATTAAGAAACTCAAAACCACACAACTACATGGAAACTGAACAACCTGCTCCTGAATGACTACTGGGTAAATAATGAAATTAAGGCAGAAATAAATAAGTTATTTGAAACCAATGAGAACAAAGACACAATGTACCAGAATCTCTGGGACACAGCTAAAACAGTGTTAAGAGGGAAATTTATAGCACTAAATGCCCACAAGAGAAAGCAGGAAAGATCTAAAATCAACACCCTAACATCACAATTAAAAGAACTAGAGAAGCAAAAGCAAACAAATTCAAAAGCTAGCAGAAGACAAGAAATAACTAAGATCAGAGCAGGACTGAAGGAAATAAAGACGCAAAAAAAACCCTTCAAAAAATCAATGAATCCAGGAGCTGTTTTTTTTTTTAAAGATCAACAAAATAGACCAGTAGCCAGACTAATAAAAGAGAGAAGAATCAAATAGATGCAATAAAAAAAGATAAAGGGGATTTCCCCACTGATCCCACAGAAATACAAACTACCATCAGAGAATACTTTAAACACCTCTATGCAAATAAACTAGAAAATCTAGAAGAAATGGATAAATTCCTGGACACATATACCCTCCCAAGTCTACACCAGGAAGAAGTTGAATCCCTGAATAGACCAATAACAAGTTCTGCAATTCAGGCAGTAATTAATAGCCTACCAACCAAAAAAATTCAAGGACTAGATGGATTCACAGCCAAATTCTACCAGAGGAACAAGGAGGTGCTTGTACTGTTCCTTCTGAAACTATTCCAAACAAAAGAAAAAGAAGGACTCCTCCCTAAGTCATTTTATGAGGCCAGCATCATCCTGATACCAAAACCTGGCAGAGACACAACCAAAAACGAAAATTTCAGCCCAATATCTCTGATGAATATTGATGTGAAAATCCTCAGTAAAACACTGGCAAACCAAATCCAGCAGCACATCAAAAAGCTTTTCCACCATGATCAAGCTGGCTTCATCCCTGGGATGCAAGGCTGGTTCAACACATGCAAATCAATAAACATAATCCATCACATAAACAGAACCAATGACAAAACCACAGGATTATCTCAATAGATGCAGAAAAGACCTTCAGTAGAATTCAACACCCCTTCATGCTAAAAACTCTCAATGAACCACGTATTGATGGGACGTATCTCAAAATAATAAGAGCTATTTGTGACAAACCCACAGCCAATATCTTACTGAATGGGCAAAAACCGGAAGCATTTCCTTTGAAAACCAGCACAAGACAAGGATGCCCTCTCTCCCCACTCCTAGTCAACATAATATTGGAACTTCTGGCCAGGGCAATCAGGCAAGAAAAAGAAATAAAGTGTATTCAATTAAGAAAAGAGGAAGTCAAATTGTCTCTGTTTGCAGATGACATGATTGTATATTTAGAAAACCCCATCATCTCAGCCCAAAATCTCCTTAAGCTGATAAGCAACTTCAGCAAAGTCTCAGGATACAAAATCAATGTGCAAAAATTACAAGCATTTCTATACACCAATAATAGAAAAACAGCCAAATCACGAGTGAACTCCCATTTGCCATTGCTTCAAAAAGAATAAAACACCTAGGAATCCAACTTACAAGGGATGTGAAGGACCTCTTCAAGGAGAACTACAAACCACTGCTCAAGGAAATCAGAGAGGACACAAACAAATGGAAAAGCATTCCATGCTCATGGATAGGAAGAATCAATATCATGAAAATGGCCATACAGCCCAAAGTAATTTATAGAGTGAATGCTATCCCCATCAAGCTACCATTACATTCTTCACAGAATTAGAGAAAACTACTTTAAATTTCATACGGAACCAAAAAAAGAGCCCATTATAGCCAAGACAATCCTAAGCAAAAAGATCAAAGCTGGGGGCATCACACTACCTGACTTCATCAAAACAAGCAATGGGGAAAGGATTCCCTATTTAATAAATGGTGTTGGGAAAACTGGCTAGCCATACGCAGAAAACTGAAACTGAACCCCTTCCTTACACCTTATACAAAAAAGATGAATTAAAGATGTAAACGTAGGACCTAAAACCATAAAAATGCTAGAAAAAAACCTAGGCAATACCACTCAGGACATAGGCATGGGCAAAGACTTCATGAATAAAACACCAAAAGCAATGGCAACAAAAGCCAAAATTGACAAATGGGATCTAATTAAACTAAAGAGCTTCTGCACAGCAAAAGAAACTACCATCAGAGTGAACAGGCAACCTACAGAATGGGAGAAAATTTTTTCAATCTATCCATCTGACTTAGGATTAATATTCAGAATCTACAAAGAACTTACATTTACAAGAAAAAAACAACCCTATCAAAAAGTGGGTTAAGGATATAAAACTCCTCAAAAGGAGACATTTATGCAGCCGAAAAACATGAAAAAGAGTTCGTCATCACTGGTCATTAGAGAAATGCAAATCAAAACCACAATGTGATACCATCTCAAGCCAGTTAGAATGGTGATCATGAAAAAGTCAGGAAACAACAGATGCTGGAGAGGATGTGGAGAAATAGGAAAGCTTTTACACTGTTGGTGGGAGGGTAAATTAGTTCAACCATTGTGGAAGACAGTGTGGCGATTCCTCAAGGAGCTAGAACCAGAAATACCATTTGACCCAGCAATCCTATTACTGGGTTTATACCCAAAGGATTATAAATCATTCTACTATAAAGACACATGTACATGCATGTTTATTGTGGCACTGTTCACAACAGCAAACACTTGGAACCAACCCAAATGCCCATCAATGATAGACTGGATAAAGAAAATGTGGCACATATACACCATGGAATACTATGCAGCCATAAAAAGGGATGAGTTCATGTCCTTTGCAGGGACATGGATGAAGCTGGAAACCATCATTCTCAGCAAACTAACACAGAAACAGAAAACCAAACACTGCATGTTCCCACTCATAAGTGGGAGCTGAACAATGAGAACACATGGACACAGGGAGGGGAAACATCACACACTGGGGCCCGTCAAGGGGTTGGGGGCTAGGGGAGAGATACTATTAGGAGAAATACCTAATGTAGATGACGGGCGGATGGGTGCAACAAACCTGCACATTCTGCACGTGTATCCCAGAACTTAGAGTATAATTTGAAAAAGAAAAAGGAATGAATGAAGATGAGTGACAAGTAACAATGTCAACAGATTTTATTCTTTTTGGTGACAAAGTAAATGTACCCATACTCCCTAAGACCCACTGTTTGATCAGGAGGAAGGCAAAAAGCATTCTAATCTTTCATCACAATGCCCTTCAGAAACATCAGCGTGTGTGCATGCATATATTGTTATCTTTTGAAACTAATAAAAATCAGTCACTGAGGAAACATAAAACAACCACCAAAGGTAGAGCTGTTCTCAGTCTGCAATGCTCACCATGAGCAGAGACGTACGGTGATGTACAAAAACTTACCAGGCAGAACCCACAGACCATATAATCTTCACAAAAGCTAGAAAAACCAGTTTTGGACAATGTGACATTTTACAGAACACATTCAAGTTGGTACTGTCATGAGGGGAAACCCCCATAAACCAAAAGTTTCATGCAGAGCATGATTTTGGAAAGGACAGAGAATAGTAAGATACAATCTATTGGATGCAGTAACATTTCTGCTAATGTGAAAGTCCAGTCTATATTATTGAATGAACAATAACCCAAAGGAGAGCTACATTTTATTAGGTTAAGAAAATGGAAATGACTTTGTGCTTTTCTCAATATGAATATTAAATATATACATATATATATAAATCCCTTTCACCAATTTGGTTATATGATCAAACTTAACAACCAACCACTAAAAGATACTGCCAGCACATGGGCATCCAAATCTTAGGATTATTTTGTGAAATTGTACAGGACACAGAGAAAGAGAGGAAGAAATTTTCAATCAAGCAAATTTAGCAAGATTTGGCAGACTCAGTTGCGCAGATCGGTTGAAATTTGGTCTTCCATTATTACTGTATCATTTACTCTTGTGTCATCTAAGGACAACCTTCTAACTAAGACTCTCTTATGCTGCAAATGATTATAATTTAAGGACCGTGAGTGTATAAAATAAGCTATTATATATGTATATATAAAATATACTCTAATAAATACAAAATAAAGAGTGTATGCATTAAAGAACCACTTGTGAACTCTTGGAGCATGGGGGTAGCAACCAGCTACTTATACACCTATAGTAGTATGTATATCATCATCTAACTAGGTTTTCTTGATAAAGTTTTTACTGTGGAACCTCAAAATTGTTATTAAGACTTTTTTCTATCTCAATTTCTTTTCCCTGATTTACATTAGGTATACAGATAAGGAAGAAAAATAATTATCAGTCACTTAACTACCTTGGAGTTTCAATAGTGAATTCTTTGGTTTTTGAATGTTAGAATCTTTAATAATGAGGTAATTATAGCTCTTTGGCCATTTAATCTTCATCTTCTAAAATTTAGTCATTGTCTTGCAAGAAGTTGTGCCTTTTTCCTGAGGTGTAATTTGTGCCATGAAAACTCACCTTAAAGGAGAAAAAGCTCCAGCAGAGAATATAATACTCATCAGGGCACTGTTTTCTCATTTATATGATATAAAGAACTAATTTGTGAATGCATGGGGCCAAGAAGGGAAGATGTCACAGAAAAAATTCCTTCATTTGGTGACTCAATGTATTCAGACTGGGTCATATCAAATGGTAATGTTGAAATTAGACATTTTACATAACAATTAAAATTATTTACAGACATCTCTACTTGGATATCCCAAAGGGAACCCAATCCTAACATGTTTAAAACTGAACTTCCCCAGCTCCTTGCCCCTCCCCCAGAGAGAGAAAGAGGAAAGAGAGAGAGGCCTCTACTCCTCTTGTGCTCCTGATTTCAACATAATGCACCACCTCCCTAACCACACAACCCCAGTCAGACCCTCATCCCCTCTCACGTGGCTGTTACCAACGCCTCCTGACATTCCTGTCTTACCTCTCCCCAACCCATCTTTCACACAGTTCCTAGAGTGATAGTAAGTAATATTTAATGATATTTTCTAATCACAACAGTAATTTGGTTCATTGAAGTAAATTTGAAAAATACAACAAAATCACAAAAATGAAAATCTCACTACTCATTGATATTCACCATTAACATTTTGGTATCTTTTCAGCATGTTTGTGATAATGTGTGCATAATTTTGGAGGGTACGTATTATTATATAACCTGTTTTTTAAAGTAAGTTTCATATTGAAGTAATAATGTACATAAGTTAACAGCTTCATTAATTTTTACAAAGTAAACTCCATGTAACTACCACCCAGATCACTCACCAGAAGCCCTCATGGTGTCCCCTCCCACTCGTTATCTCCTTGAAGGTAACCACTATTCTAATGGCATTGACTATTTGTGCCTGTGTTTTAATTTTACATAAACAGAATCATACAACATGTTTTCTTTAGATTCTGTCTCCGCTCACTTAATATTGTAGCAGTAGTTTTTTTTTTTTTCGAGACAGGGTCCCACTGTGTCACCCAGGCTGGAGTGCAGTGGCACCAACTCAATTCACTTGCAGGCTCGACCTCCCAGGCTCAGGTGACCCATACCACCTCAGCTTCCCAAGTAGCTGGGATCACAGGCATACACCATCACAACTGGCTAATTTTTGTATTTTTTTGGAGAGATGGAGTCTCGACACGTTGCCCAAGCTGTTCTCAAACTCCAGGGCTTGAACAATCTTCCCACCTTGGCCTCCCAAGGCACTGGAATTACAGGTGAGGCACCATGTCTGGCTTGTTTATTTTTATTATGTAATATTCCATGTACAAATATAACAAGATTTATTTATCCATTTCCACTCTTATTAGAATCTGAATGTTTCTACTATTATAAATTATACTGCTATGGACATTCTCGAATGTGTCTTCTGGTGCACATATAGATGCGTTTCTGTTGGGTGTAAACCTAGAAGTGAATTTTGGGGGTCAAAGAATACATGTTTTAGCGTTAACAGATACTGCCAAAGAATGTTCCAAAGTGGTTGTACAAATAATCTCCTATTAGTAGTAAGTGAGAGTTTCCATTGCTTAACACTGTGGGTGTCAACATCGTGTCAACACTATGGATTTTTACTGTTTTGATTTCTAAATTTGCCATTCTGATGGATGCGTAGAGTTAGGATTTGAATTTGTGATTCCCTCACGGCTAATGTTTTCATAGGCTCAATGGCTATTTGGATATTGTTGTACACTAAATATTTGTGCCCCTGCCAAAATTTATATGTGAAATCCTAACCCCCAATATGATGGTATTAGGAGATAGAACTTTTAGGAGTAATTAGGTCAGAAGAGTGGAACCATCATGAATGGGGTTAGTGCCTTTATAAGAAGAGACGAGGGAGAGATTATTTCTCTCTCTGTCATGTGAGGATACAATGAGGAGACAGCCATCTGCAAATCAAAGAGGACCATCAAAAGAACACAATCATGCTGGAATCCTAATCTCAGACTTCCAGCCTACAGAGCTGTGAGAAGTAAATGTGTGTTGTTTGACCAACTAGTCTATGGTATTCTGCTATAGTAGTCCAAGCTGACTGAAACAGCTGTCCTCTTTTGGAAGTGCCTGCTAAAAACTTGGGTTGTCTTTTTTCTTTTTCTTTCTTTCTTTCTTTTTTTTTTTCCTTTCGAGATGGAGTCTCGCTCTGTTGCCCAGGCTGGAGTGCAGTGGCACCATCTCAGCTCACTGCAACCTCCACCTCCTGGGTTCAAGCAATTCTCCTGCCTCAGCCTCCCAAGTAGCTGGGATTACAGGTGCCCGCCACCATGCCTAGCTATTTTTTTTATTTTTAGTAGAGAAAGGGTTTCACCTTGTTGGCCATGCTGGTCTCAAACTCCTGAACTTCAGGTGATCTGCCTGCCTCGACCTCCCAAAGTGCTGAGATTACAGGTGTGAGCCACTGCGCCTCGTTTTGTTGTTGTTGTCGTAGTTCTCATATTCTGAATACAAGCCCTTTGACATAGATGTTTTAAAATACTGAATATTAAGTTCTTATTTGTATTGTGAATATCTTTACCTACTCTGTGGTTTTATTTTCACTATTTTGATGCCTTTTTTTGATGGGATCTCATTATGTTGCCCAGGCTAGAGTGCAGTGGCTATTCACAAGTGCAATTGTAGCACACTGTAGACTCAAATTCCTGGGCTCAAGCAATCCTCCCACCTCAGCCTCCTGAGTAGCTAGGACTACAGGTGTGTGCCACCATTCCTGGCTTTTCTTGATGTCTTTTGATGAAAAAAAGTTTTTTTTTTATTTTAATAAAGTCCAATTTATTCATTTTTTTCTTTAGCATTTTTTTACCTTCAAAAAACTTGTCTATCTCAAATCATGAAGATATATTTGTATGTAATATTGTAGAAATTCTACTATTTTACCTTTTATATTTATATCTAAAATCCACAGAGAAGACTTATGATTTCCACTCTGACATGTAAAGAGTTTTAAAGAGTTTGCAAGTCATCATTCCTGTCCTCACAACAAGAGGGCTGAAAATTTGAAAATCAACAAATCTTCTTAGATCCATCAGAGCATTGCAGTTACAAATCACAATGAAATGAAAAATCATTTTCATGAGTTTTCCCTCCAAAAGACCCACCAGTTTATCACAGTGAACATCTGAGAAAAATTCCCTCTTGCTTCCAGCAAAGACAGGTAAAAATAATAATTTTGAAATGTACTCAAGGGAAAAGTATCCATTTTGAAATATGCCCAGAGCATTCTGGTCTTCATTCTGTCCTCTATAACAAAGGCTGGCTCTCAGGGAAACTACCACAGCCTTATCTGACCTGATGGAAGGTCAATTAGCTAACTCCAGCCTCAATTTCAGTCTCACATAAGCATAGGGGAGAAAAAGGCTAAGAACTTCTTCTAAAAGTCACAACCCAGGGAGTATAGCCCACCAAAGAGAAGAGAAAGGAGAGAGATATTTTAATCACAAAATAATATAAGATTATCATAAGATAATAGGCCAGAACATCCAAGAACTGTGGGACAAGACAAAAGGTACAACATACATATAATGGGAATACTAGGAGAAGAATGAAAGATGCAAAAGAAATATTAGAAGTAATAACGTATCATAATTTTCCACAATTAATAAGAAACACCAAGCCAAAGATCGAGAAAGCTCAGAGAATACCAAGGGAACGAATACCCAAAATTTAGGCATATGATATCCCAACTGTAGGAAACCAAAAACAAAACATCTTGAAAAAAGCCAGAGGGCAGGGGCGGGGGGGTAATACCTTACCTACAGAGGAACAAGGATAGAGTTATATTGGAACTCTCTTCAGAAACCATGCAAGCAAGAGAAGAGTGGAATGAAGTATTTAAAGTGTTGAAAGAAAAAGACCACCAACCGAGATTTCTATATCCAGTGAAAATATCCTTCAAAAGTGAAAAAATTATAAAGGCTTTTTCATACAAACAAAAACTGAGGAAATTTGTCAGCAATAGATTTATTTGCCTTGCAAGAAATGTGAAAATTTCTTCAGGGAGAAGAAAAATGATATAGGTGAGAAACTTGCATTTACATGAACAAAGGAAGAGTGTTAAAGAAGGTATAAAGGAAGGTTTTTTTAAAAAAATACCTTTCTTATTCATATCTTATGTAATATATAATTGTTTGTTCAAAATAATATCAACAACATATATAGCTTCCGAATAAATAGAATAAATGCACCAATGTTATAAGGAATGAGAAGACATTGGGAAGATTTTGTTATAATGTATTTGCACTTCCCATGAAGCTACATACTATTATTTGATAGTGAACTTAGATTATTTGTAAATATATATTGAAAACTCTAGGTCAAGGCCTAAAAATTTTTTAATCGATTTCTAAGAAAGGAGGGAAAATGGAATCATATAAAATGCTCAATTAAAATCAAAGAAGTTAGAAAAAGGGAAGATTTTTCAAAAGTGAAACAAATAGAAAACAATTTAAAATGTGGCAGGTATTCAACTGTATCAATAATCACTTTAGATGTCAGTCCCTTCAGGCTGCTATAACAAAATACTATAAACTGAGTATTTCATAAAACAGAAGTTTATTTCTTACTGTTCTGGAGTCTGGGAAGTCCACAATCAAGTCACCAACAGATTCAATATCTGGTGCGAGCACACTTTTTGGTTTATAGATGGTACCTTGTTTCAGGGTACCTTGTTTCAGGGTCCTCATGTGGTGAAAGTTGTGAACAAAGTGCCTTGGGCCTCTTTATAAAGGCAATAATACCATTCATGAGGGCTCTACCCTCATAACTCAACAACCTTCCAAAAGTCCCACCTCCTAATACTATCATCTTGGAGGGTAGCATTTCAAAACATGAATTTTGAGGGGACATAAACATGCAGACCATAGTAGATCTAAATGACCTAAATATACCAGTTAAAAGACAAAGGCTATCAGAGTGGATTGAAAACAAGACCCAACAATAATCCTACTTTAGACACAGGTTGAGCATCCCTAATTTGAAAATCCAAAATCAAAAGTGTGCCAAAATCCAACATCTTTTGAGCACTGACATGATGATCAAAGGAAATGCTCACTGGAGAGATTTTCAGATTAGGGATGTTCAACCTGTAAATATAATACAAATATTCCAAAGTCCAAAAAAGTCTGAAATCTGAAAAACTTTTGGTCCTAAGCATTTTGGATAAGGGATACACAGCTTGTGTAGAAATGCAGATTAAAAGTAAAGGGATGGAGAAAGATGTACCATATTAACACCAGTCAAAAGAAAGCTGAAGAAGCTACGTTGATTTCAGATAAAGCAGAATCAAGGCAAGGAAATTTATCAGGGATAAAGAAGAGTGTTATATATTAATAAAAGTGTCAATTCTCCAAAAAGACATAATAATTAATGTGTATTCAGAGAACCAGAATACATTATGCAAAACTTACAGAAGTATAAGGCAAAGTAGATGAATCCACAATTATAGTTGGAGATTTTATCTGTAATGCACAGATCCAGCAAGCAGAAAATCAGTGTAAGAATATAGTTGAACTGAACAGCACTGTCAGTCAACTGGATTTAATTGACATTTTTAGAACACTTCCCCAACCACAGCAGAATAAACATTCTTATCAAACTCACAGGGAACATTCACCAAGATAGACCACATTCTGGGCCATAAAAACATCTGTAATAATTTAAAGAATAGAAATCATACAAAGTATGCTCTTAGACCACAATTGAATTAAAATAGAAATCAATAAAAATATCGAGATGGATCTCAAATATTTGGAGATTAAACAACACACTTTTAAATAACACATGGGTCAAAGAAGAAGTTTCAAGAAAATTAAAAAATAAATGAAAATAAAAATACAATTTATCAAAATGTGCAGAATGCAGCAAGAACAATGTCTAGAGGGAAATTTGTAATACTGAATTTACATATTAGAAAAGAAGAAAGACCTAAAATCAGTAACCTAAGCCTACACATTAGATAACTAGAGAAAGAGTTATATAACCTTAAAGCAAGCAGAAGAAAAGAGCTAATAAAAATTAGAGTGGAAATTAACAAAATTGAAAAAGGGGAAGAAATAAGAAAATCAACAAAACCAAAAATAGAGCAATCTAATTGATAAACCCTTAGCCAGGCTAACAATGTAAAAATAAATTATTAGTATCAGAAATGAAAGAGGAGACATTACTACTGACCCCATGGCCAATAAAAGGATAATAAAGACTATTTTAAACAACTCTATGCCCACAACGTGATAATATTTAGATAAAATGGGCTAATTCCTCAAAAGATCTATAAAAACTCATACAAGGAGAAATAGACCATCTGAATAGGCCTGAATCTATTAAAGAAATTGAATGGGGGGAGGAGCCAAGATGGCCGAATAGGAACAGCTCCGGTCTACAGCTACCAGCGTGAGCAAGGCAGAAGACAGGTGATTTCTGCATTTCCATCTGAGGTACCAGGTTCATCTCACTAGGGAGTGCCAGACAGTGGGCACAGGTCAGTGGGTGCACACACTGCACGCTAGCCGAAGCAGGGCGAGGCATTGCATCACTTGGGAAGCCCAAGGGGTCAGGGAGTTCCCTTTCCGAGTCAAAGAAAGGGGTGACGGACAGCACCTGGAAAATCGGGTCACTCCCACCCGAATACTGCGCTTTTCCGACAGGCTTAAAAAACGGCGCACCACGACATTATATCCCACACCTGGCTCGGAGGGTCCTATGCCTATGGAGTCTCGCTGATTGCTAGCACAGCAGTCTGAGATCAAACTGCAAGGCGGCAGCGAGGCTGGGGGAGGGGAGCCCGCCATTGCCCAGGCTTGCTTAGGTAAACAAAGCAGCCGGGAAGCTCAAACTGGGTGGAGCCCACCACAGCTCAAGGAGGCCTGCCTGCCTCTGTAGGCTCCATCTCTGGGGGCAGGGCACAGACAAACAAAAAGACAGCAGTAACTTCTGCAGACTTAAATGTCCCTGTCTGACAGCTTTGAAGAGAGCAGTGGTTCTCCCAGCATGCAGCTGGAGATCTGAGAATGGGCAGACTGCCTCCTCAAGGGGGTCCCTGACCCCTGACCCCCGAGCAGTCTAACTGGGAGGCACCCCCCGAGCAGGGGCACACTGACACCTCACACGGCAGGGTATTCCAACAGACCTGCAGCTGAGGGTCCTGTCTGTTAGAAGGAAAACTAACAAACAGAAAGGACTTCCACACCAAAAACCCATCTGTACATCACCATCATCAAAGACCAAAAGTAGATAAAACCACAAAGATGGGGAAAAAACAGAACAGAAAAACTGGAAACTCTAAAAAGCAGAGCGCCTCTCCTCCTCCAAAGGAACGCAGTTCCTCACCAGCAAAGGAACAAAGCTGGACGGAGAATGACTTTGACGAGCTGAGAGAAGAAGGCTTCAGACGATCAAATTACTCTGAGCTACGGGAGGAAATTCAAACCAAAGGCAAAGAAGTTGAAAATTTTGAAAAAAATTTAGAAGAATGTATAACTAGAATAACCATACAGAGAAGTGCTTAAAGGAGCTGATGGAGCCAAAAACCAAGGCTCAAGAACAACGTGAAGAATGCAGAAGCCTCAGGAGCCGATGCGATCAACTGGAAGAAAGGGTATCAGCAATGGAAGATGAAATGAATGAAATGAAGGGAGAAGGGAAGTTTAGAGAAAAAAGAATAAAAAGAAATGAGCAAAGCCTCCAAGAAATATGGGACTATGTGAAAAGACCAAATCTACGTCTGATTGGTGTACCTGAAAGTGATGGGGAGAATGGAACCAAATTGGAAAACATGCTGCAGGATATTATCCAGGAGAACTTCCCCAATCTAGCAAGGCAGGCCAACATTCAGATTCAGGAAATACAGAGAACGCCACAAAGATACTCCTCCAGAAGAGCAACTCCAAGACACATAATTGTCAGATTCACCAAAGTCGAAATGAAGGAAAAAATGTTAAGGGCAGCTAGAGAGAAAGGTTGCATTACCCACAAAGGGAAGCCCATCAGACTAACAGCTGATCTCTCAGTAGAAACTCTACAAGTCAGAAGAGAGTGGGGGCCAATATTCAACATTCTTAAAGGAAAGAATTTTCAACCCAGAATTTCATATCCAGCCAAACTAAGCTTCATAAGCAAAGGAGAAATAAAATACTTTACAGACAAGCAAATGCTGAGAGATTTTGTCACCACCAGGCCTGCCCTAAAAGAGCTCCTGAAGGAAGCACTAAATATGGAAAGGAACAACCAGTACCAGCCGCTGCAAAATCATGCCAAAATGTAAAGACCATCGAGACTAGGAAGAAACTGCATCAACTAACGAGCAAAGTAACCAGCTAACATCATAATGACAGGATCAAATTCACACATAACAATATTAACTTTAAATGTAAACGGACTAAATGCTCCAATTAAAACACACAGACTGGCAAATTGGATAAAGAGTCAAGACCCATCAGTGTGCTGTATTCAGGAAACCCATCTCATGTGCAGAGACACACATAGGCTCAAAATAAAAGGATGGAGGAAGATCTACCAAGCAAATGGAAAACAAAAAAAGGCAGGGGTTGCAATCCTAGTCTCTGATAAAACAGACTTTAAACCAACAAAGATCAAAAGAGACAAACAAGGCCATTAAATAATGGTAAAGGGATCAATTCAACAAGAAGAGCTAACTATCCTAAATATATATGCACCCAATATAGGAGCACCCAGATTCATAAAGCAAGTCCTGAGTGACCTACAAAGAGAATTAGACTCCCACACATTAATAATGGGAGACTTAAACACCCCACTGTCAACATTAGACAGATCAACGAGACAGAAAGTTAACAAGGATACCCAGGAATTGAACTCAGCTCTGCACCAAGTGGACCTAATAGACATCTACAGAACTCTCCACCCCAAATCAACAGAATATACATTTTTTTCAGCACCACACCACACCTATTCCAAAATTGACCACATACTTGGAAGTAAAGCTCTCCTCAGCAAATGTAAAAGAACAGAGATTATAACAAACTATCTCTCAGACCACAGTGCAATCAAATTAGAACTCAGGATTAAGAATCTTACTCAAAACCGCTCAACTACATGGAAACTGAACAACCTGCTCCTGAATGACTACTGGGTACATAACAAAATGAAGGCAGAAATAAAGATGTTCTTTGAAACCAACGAGAACAAAGACACAACATACCAGAATCTCTGGGACGCATTCAAAGCAGTGTGCAGAGGGAAATTTATAGCACTAAATGCCCACAAGAGAAAGCAGGAAAGATCCAAAATTGACACCCTAACATCACAATTAAAAGAACTAGAAAAGCAAGAGCAAACACATTCAAAAGCTAGCAGAAGGCAAGAAATAACTAAAATCAGAGCAGAACTGAAGGAAATAGAGACACAAAAAAACCCTTCAAAAAATTAATGAATCCAGGAGCTGGTTTTTTGAAAGGATCAACAAAATTGATAGACCGCTAGCAAGACTAATAAAGAAAAAAAGAGAGAAGAATCAAATAGACACAATAAAAAATGATAAAGGGGATATCACCACCAATCCCACAGAAATACGAACTACCATCAGAGAATACTACAAACACCTCTACGCAAATAAACTAGAAAATCTAGAAGAAATGGATAAATTCCTCAACACATACACTCTCCCAAGACTAAACCAGGAAGAAGTTGAATCTCTGAATAGACCAATAACAGGATCTGAAATTGGGGCAATAATCAATATCTTACCAACCAAAAAGAGTCCAGGACCAGATGGATTCACAGCCGAATTCTACCAGAGGTACAAAGAGGAACTGGTACCATTCCTTCTGAAACTATTCCAATCAACAGAAAAAGAGGGAATCCTCCCTAACTCATCTTATGAGGCCAGCGTCATCCTGATACCAAAGCCAGGCAGAGACACAACAAAAAAAGAGAATTTTAGACCAATATCCTTGATGAACATTGATGCAAAAATCCTCAATAAAATACGGGCAAAACGAATCCAGCAGCACATCAAAAAGCTTATCCACCATGATCAAGTGGGCTTCATCCCTGGGATGCAAGGCTGGTTCAATATATGCAAATCAATAAATGTAATCCAGCATATAAACAGAGCCAAAGACAAAAACCACATGATTATCTCAATAGATGCAGAAAAAGCCTTTGACAAAATTCAACAACCCTTCATGCTAAAAACTCTCAATAAATTAGGTATTGATGGGACGTATTTCAAAATAATAAGAGCTATCTATGACAAACCCACAGCCAATATCATACTGAATGGGCAAAAACTGGAAGCATTCCCTTTGAAAACTGGCACAAGACAGGGATGCCCTCTCTCACCACTCCTATTCAACATAGTGTTGGAAGTTCTGGCCAGGGCAATTAGGCAGCAGAAGGAAATAAAGGGTATTCAATTAGGAAAAGAGGAAGTCAAATTGTCCCTGTTTGCAGACGACATGATTGTATATCTAGAAAACCCCATTGTCTCAGCCCAAAATCTCCTTAAGCTGATAAGCAACTTCAGCAAAGTCTCAGGATACAAAATCAATGTACAAAAATCACAAGCATTCTTATACACCAACAACAGACAAACAGAGAGCCAAATCATGAGTGAACTCCCATTCACAATTGCTTCAAAGAGAATAAAATACCTAGGAATCCAACTTATAAGGGATGTGAAGGACCTCTTCAAGGAGAACTACAAACCACTGCTCAAGGAAATAAAAGAGGATACAAACAAATGGAAGAACATTCCATGCTCATGAGTAGGAAGAATCAATATCGTGAAAATGGCCATACTGCCCAAGGTAATTTACAGATTCAACGCCATCCCCATCAAGCTACCAATGCCTTTCTTCACAGAATTGGAAAAAACTACTTTAAAGTTCATATGGAACCAAAAAAGAGCCCGCATTACCAAGCCAATCCTAAGCCAAAAGAACAAAGCTGGAGGCATCACACTACCTGACTTCAAACTATACTACAAGGCTACAGTAACCAAAACAGCATGGTACTGGTACCAAAACAGATATATAGATCAATGGAACAGAACAGAGCCCTCAGAAGTAACGCCACATAACTACAACTATCTGATCTTTGACAAACCTGAGAAAAACAAGCAATGGGGAAAGGATTCCCTATTTAATAAATGGTGCTGGGAAAACTGGCTAGCCATATGTAGAAAGCTGAAACTGGATCCCTTCCTTACACCTTATACAAAAATCAATTCAAGATGGATTAAAGACTTAAACGTTAGACCTAAAACCATAAAAACCCTAGAAGAAAACCTAGGCATTACCATTCAGGACATAGGCATGGGCAAGGACTTCATGTCTAAAACACCAAAAGCAATGGCAACAAAAGCCAAAATTGACAAATGGGATCTAATTAAACTAAAGAGCTTCTGCATAGCAAAAGAAACTACCATCAGAGTGAACAGGCAACCTACAGAATGGGAGAAAATTTTCGCAACCTACTCATCTGACAAAGGGCTAATATCCAGAATCTACAATGAACTCAAGCAAATTTACAAGAAAAAAACAAACAACCCCATCAAAAAGTGGGCGAAGGACATGAACAGACACTTCTCAAAAGAAGACATTTATGCAGCCAAAAAACACATGAAAAAATGCTCATCATCACTGGCCATCAGAGAAATGCAAATCAAAACCACAATGAGATACCATCTCACACCAGTTAGAATGGCAATCATTAAAAAGTCAGGAAACAACAGGTGCTGGAGAGGATGTGGAGAAATAGGAACACTTTTACACTGTTGGTGGGACTGTAAACTAGTTCAACCATTGTGGAAGTCAGTGTGGTGATTCCTCAGGGATCTAGAACTGGAAATACCATTTGACCCAGCCATCCCATTACTGGGTATATACCCAAAGGACTATAAATCATGCTGCTATAAAGACACATGCACACGTATGTTTATTGCGGCACTATTCACAATAGCAAAGACTTGGAACTAACCCAAATGTCCAACAATGATAGACTGGATTAAGAAAATGTGGCACATACACACCATGGAATACTATGCAGCCATAAAAAATGATGAGTTCATGTCCTTTGTAGGGACATGGGTGAAATTGGAAATCATCATTCTCAGTAAACTATCGCAATAACAAAAAACCAGACAGCGCATATTCTCACTCATAGGTGGGAACTGAACAATGAAATCACATGGACACAGGAAGGGGAATATCATAGTCTGGGGACTGTTGTGGGGTGGGGGGAGGGGGGAGGGATAGCATTGGGAGATATACCTAATGCTAGATGATGAGTTAGTGGGTGCAGCGCACCAGCATGGCACATGTATACATATGTAACTAACCTGCACAATGTGCACATGTACCCTAAAACTTAAAGTATAATAATAAAAAAAAAAAAGAAATTGAATGAGCAATTAATAACCTTCCAAAACACAAAGCACCAGGCCCAGATAGTCTCACTGGTGAATTCTACCAAACATTTAAGAAAGAAATGATAACAATTCTTCACAATCTCTTCCAGAAAACAGAAGCAGAGGGAACACTTACTAATTTATTCTAATAGGCCAGTATCACCTTAATACCAAAACCAGATGAAGATATTGCAAGAAAGAAAAATCATGTACCAATGTATCTCATGAATACAGGTGTTAAAATCTCCAACAAAATACGAGGAAATCAATCAATCCATCACAACCATACGGCAGGTATGCAAGGCTGATTGAATGTTCAAAAATTTATTAATATAATCCATAAAATCAGGTTAAAGAAGAAAAATCATATCAATAAATGCAGCAAAAGCATTTGAAAAATCCAACATTTATTCATGATCAGAACTCTCAGCAAATTAAAAATTTAAGAAAACTTTTTCAGCTTGATAAGGAATATCTACCAAAAACTTCCAGCTAACATCATACTTAATGGTGGGAAACTAGTTGCTTTCTGCCTAAGATAAGGAATGAAACCAGGATGTCCCTCTCACCACACCTATTCAACATTACACTGAAATCCTAGCCAATGCAGTAAGACCAGAAAAGAAGACAAAAGGCATACAGGTTGGGAAGAAACAAATAAAACTGTCTTTGTTCACATATGACATGATTGTCTATGTGGAAAAAAAATTCCTGGAATTAATAAGCAATTACGACAAATAGCAAGATTGCATGACACAATGTTAATATATTAAAGTCAATAACTTTCCTACATACCATCAATAAACAATTGGAATTTGAAATTCAAAGCATCTTTTACATTAGCACCAAAAGCACCCAAAATAACTAGGTGTAAATCTGATAAAATGTATAAATATAAATTAATCTGGCTTAGATAAAATATATACATATATATGAGAAAAATATTTTTAGATAAACTATATACATATATAGATAAAATATATAACTCTGGCCAGGCACAGTGGCTCACGCCTGTAATCCCAGCACTTTGGGAGCCTGAGGCAGGCAGACCACCTGATGTTAGGAGTTCGAGACCAGCCTGGCCAACATGGTGAAACCCCGTCTCTACTAAAAATACAAAAATTAGCTGGGCGTGGTGGCATGTGCCTGTAATCCCAGCTACCTGGGATGTTTATAGATATATATATCTATATATCTGACAAAATATATATGAGGAAAACTGTAAGACTGAAAAATATCAAAGAAAATCTAAATAAAGGGAAAGATATTTCATGTTCAGGCATTAAAAAAAATCAATATTGTCAAGATGTCAGTTATCCCCAACTTGATCTATAGATTCAATGCAATCCAAATCAAATTCCTAGCAAGCTGTTTTGTGAATATCAACAAATTGATTCTAAAGTTTATATGGAAAAACAAAACACTCAGAAGAGCCAATACAATATCAAAGAATAAAAACAATCTGAAAACTGACACTACCTTATTTCAGACTTATTTTAAAACTACAATTATCAAGATGATGTGGTATTAATTTAAAAAATAGACAAATTGATTTACACTTATGAACAAAATAAAGAGTCCAGAAATAGACTCACACAAATACAGTCAACTGACCTCTGACAGGAGTAGAGGCAATCCAGTGGAGAAAAGATAGTCTTTTCAACAAATGGTACTACAAAAACTGGACATTTGTATTCCCCCCTCAAAAAAGTCGAGACACAGACCTTACACCTTTCACGAAAATCAACTCAAAATGAATCATAGACCTAAATTTAAAATTCAAAATGTTAACTTCTAGAAGATAACACAGGAAGAAAATCTAAATGATCCAAGGTTTGATAATGAGTTTTTAGAACATCAAAGGTACAATCCATAAAAGAAATCAAGTTGGACTTCATTAAAATTAAAATTTTCTGCTCTAAAAAACTCTTAAGAGAATGAAAAGACGAGCCACAAAAAGATAACCCAATTAAAAAATGGATGAACTATCTGAACAGACACTTCATCAAAGAAGATATACATGTGGCAAATGATCATATGAAAATATGTTCAGCATCACATGTCATTAGGGAATTGAAAATTGAGGTACTACTGCACATGGATTAGAACGACTAAAACAAAAAACCTGACAATATCAAAGGCTGGCAAGAATGTGGACCAACAGGACCTCGCATCTATTATGGATGGAAAGTGCAAAATGGCACAGCTGCTTTAGAACACAATCTGGCAGTTTCTGACGAAGGTAAACACGGACTTAATACAAATACCAATATGCTCTTAAGTATTTAACCCAGATGAATTAGAATGTGTTTTGGTATTATGGCCACACAAAAACCTGCACACAATGTTGATAACAGCTTTATTCATAATTGCCCCAAATGGAAAGCAACTAAGATGTCCCTCAATAGATAAATGAATAATTCAAACTGTGATACATCCATACAATGGAACATTATTTAGCACTAAAAAGAAATGTGCTACCAAGCCATTAAAAGATACAGAGGAAACAAATGCATATTGCAAAGTGAAAGATTCCAGTCTGAAAAGTTTACATACTCTGTCATTCCAACTACATGACATCTTAGAAAACGTAAAACAATAGAGGGAATAAAAAGGTCCATGGTTGCATGGATTCTTGGAGGGTGATGGAAGGGATGGATAGGTGAAGCACAGGGGACTTTTAGGACAGTGAAATTATTCTGTATGGTATTGTAATGGTGGATACCTGATATTATGCATTTGTCAAAACCCACAGAACTATACAGCACAAAGAGAACCCTAATGTAAACTATGGACTTTAGTTAATAATAATCTATCAATATTGGTTTATTAATTATAACAAATATACCACACTAATGCAAGACGCTGAAACCAGGGGAAACTGTGGGGAAGGGAGGATATATAGGAACACTTCATAATCCATTCAGTTTTTCTATAGTTTTAAGTTTTAGCTCTAAAATATAGCCTATTAATTTTTAACCCACATAAAATTGATTTTTGTGTATGTTCTAAACTAAGGACCATAATTGCATGTAGAATCTATATTCATAGATACACATGTTGTGTGTGTGTATTGGGGGGGTAGCGAATAATGGAGGAAGCTGGGAGGCTCTCATAATCATCCAGTTGCAGGGTGATGGTGGCTCAGATCTGGGTGGTAAAACAGTATAATGAGACACACATGGATTCTGTATGTATTTTAAAACTGGAGCCCAGTTATTATTTTCTGTTATTATAGATTATTTTAGTCTGTATTACAATTTTCCAGAAATGCAGTTGTGCACTATATGCTGTTTTACATCTGGCTTTGTTCTTTCAACATGTTTTTGGAGCTTATCCGTGTTCTTTCACATATCAGCAGTTTGGTCTTATTTAATTGCTCAGTATTACATTGCATGGATATTCCACAATTACCTTCAATTGTTTTCAGTTCAAGGCTCTTATTAATAAAGATTCTATGTTCATCCATGTGCAGTCTTTGTATGGACATATATGCATTTCTTTTTTTTTTTTTTTTTTTTTATTTTTGAGATGGAGTCTCGCTCTGTCGCCCAGGCTGCAGTGCGGTGGCGCGATCTCGGCTCAGTGCAAGCTCCGCCTCCTGGGTTCACGCCATTCTCCTGCCTCAGCCTCCTGAGTAGCTGGGACTACAGGCACCTGCCACCACGCCCAGCTAATTTTTTGTATTTTTAGTAGAGACGGGGTTTCACCGTGTTAGCCAGGATGGTTTTGAACTCCTCGTGATCCGCCTGCCTCGGCCTCCCAAAGTGCTAGGATTACAGCCGCGAGCCACCCGCGCCCGGCCACATATATGCATTTCTTTTGGGTAAATATCTACAAGTGGATTTGCCAGACTGTACAGAAAGGGGATGTTTATACTAAACTGCCAAATTGTTTTTCAAAGTAGTTATATAATTTTACATTCCCATAAGTAATGTATAAGAATTCCATATTCTCACCAATACTTGGTTATGTCAATCTTTTAAATTTTAGCCATTCTAGTGGGTATGTAGTGGTAGTTTAATTTGCATATCCTTAATGATTAATGATGTTGAACATCTTTTCGTATGTTTCTTGGTCATTCACATATCTTCTTTTGTGAACTGTCTAAAATTTTGCCAAATTTTTTAGTGAGTTGTCTGTCTCTTATTGAGTTATAACTGACAAAGGTTTTATATCCAAAATACATAAAGAAATGTTATATGTACAGCAAATAATTTGACAGTTTTTAGTTTGCCTTTTCATTTTCTTAACAGTGTATTTGAAGAGTAGAAGTTTTGAAATTTTGAAGTCCAATTTATTTTCTTTTACAACTTTGTGTTCCAAGAAATCTTTGCCTATACCAAGGACATATTCTTCTGTTTTCCTCTAGAAGCTTTATCTCATTTCAGATCTGATGCTTAGGTCTATTTTGAGTTAATTTTGTATATAGAGTGAGTTAAGGGCTAAGATTCATTTTTCCCCCACATGGATATTCAGTTTGTCTAGCACCATTTATCAGAAAAACTGTCCTTTTCTCCATTTGAATTACCTTGGTTTTTCTAATTTAGCAGCCACTTCTTCCTGTTCTCTCCTTTACCATTTCTTCCTCACCACCCCAGATGTTAAATATCAGAGTGATCCAGGGTTCACACTTAAGCCTCTTCTCTACTTCACTCACTCCTTAGGAAATCTCATCCAGTCCCAGGACTTTATTGCTATCAATACGTAGATAATTCTCAAATGCATTTCTGATTCTTCCTCTGAACTCTAGGTTCATACGGCCAATAATCTACTCATCATCTCCACTTGCATGTCTCACCAATAAACATCTAAAATTCCACATATTAAGATATAAGTATTAATTCCCCATACTTCCCCCACCATACCTGCTCCTTTTGCAGCCTTCACCATGTTAGTTGCTCCATGTTATGTAAGATCACATATCTATCTTATAGTTGCTCCATCTCCATGTGAGAAACCTTGGAGTTATCCTTGACTCCTCTCTTTTTCTCACAGAATATATCCAATCCAATAGCAAATCTCCTGGGCTCCACATTTAAAATACACACAGAATCCAACCATTTCTCATTATGCTATTCCTACCACTCAGATATGAGCCATCATCACCCTGCAACTGGATTGTTGTGAGAGCCTCCCAGCTTCCTTCCTTATTTGCCCCCTTCTCCAATGCACACATAATCTGTTAATTATACCCAGCACCATAATCATCATCTACTCAAAACTTTCCAGTATTGCCCATCTCATTCAGAGTATAATCTAAAGTTCTTACATAAGCTGCAAGACCCTCCAGAATACGGTCCCCTTGATATCTCTACGATCTCATATTCTATTGTTCTTCCCTTGCATTCTGTGTTCCAGCCACACTGGCCTCGTTGTTGTACCTAAAATATGTCAAGCTGCTCCCATTTCAGGGCCTTTGTGCTTGTTGTTGCCTCTACCTGCAGCGTTCACACCCTAGATATCTGCATGGCCTCCTTCCTCCCTTTGTGTTTCTGCTCAAATGTTATCTTCTTTGTGAAGCCATCCTTATCCACCCTAATAAAATAGCACCATCCATTTTCTACCTTGTTATTCTGCTTTTTTTTCTATAACACTTACAAAGAAAAAAGAAACACTGCATGTAACTTTCTTGTCTTCCCCTTCCAGAATGAAAGCTCCTCAAGAATAAGGACTTTGTGTTGTTTGATGCTATATTCTCAATAGCAAGAATAAAGCCTGCCACATAATAGGTGCTCATTAAGTATTTGTTGTCAAATGAAAAACTTCTAGCCATTCAATATCTCTTTCCTGACCTACTGAAGAATAATAAAGAACTTTCTTTTCTCTCTAGACTCCCAAATAATTTTGTTTTGTATCTCTTCTGTAAGCCTATGAAGAACTCTCTTCACTATTTGATGATATCTTATTTGCATTTTATTCCCTGGCACCTAGCATAACATCAATTAACAAGTATTTGTTGAATAAATAAATGAATGAGTTGATAAGGGGCCTGTATTATAAGCATAATTACTGGGTAAATAGAATAAATCCTGCCCTATCTCCCTTCCTCATACTTCCATTCTTACTCTTATTCTTCTTCCAACCATCCCCACCTGAACCCTGAAACTGGCTACCCTCTCTCTTACCCATGCCTCCTCATAATCATATCTTCTTACTCTTACCTCTTATTAATCCTAGATAAGCAATGTTACAAACTTACTTCTAAAGTATAAATAGAAAATTTAAAACACCACCAAAATTAAATGTCTAATGGTTAATCCTCATCCTGTCCTTTCTTTACAGAGACAGTGCTCTGCAGGGAGTCTACCACTGTGATGGTTAATACTGAGTGTCAACTTGATTGGATTGAAGGATGCAAAGTATTGTTCCTGGGTGTGTCTGTGAGGGTGTTGCCAAAGGAGATTAACATTTGAGTCAGTGGGCTGGGAAAGGTAGACCCAGCCGTAATCTAGGTGGGCACCATCTAATCAGCTGCCAGCACAGCTAGAAGATAAAGTAGGCAGAAAAACATGAAAACATTAGACTGGCCTAGCCTCTGAGCCTACATCTTTCTCCCATGCTGGATGCTCCCTGCCCTTGAACATCAGACTCCAAGTTTTTCAGTTTTGGGACTGGGACTCACTATCCTTGCTCCTCAGCTTGCAGACAGCCTATTGTGGGACCTTATGATCATGTGAGTTAATACTTAATACATAAATATATATATATACACACACACATATACACACACACACACACATATATATATACACACACACACACATATATATATATATCTGTCCCTCTAGAGAACCCTGACTAATACAACTACTAATAAAAATTGGGGCAAAAGACATTGATTGGGTATTGTAAGTAGGTTATGCTCACAGTAGCAATATCTCTTAAGACTTTTTAAAAGACTTCCTAATAAAAGAGATTTAAAATACAGCAAATAACAAGTTTGTGCATTTTCAATTTCATTATCAGCACCACCTTCATTATCCAAAGTTATTACTAAAGCTTATGACACATACAGCATGAGCAGCAGACAGAAAATTTTGAAGTCAGTGCCTCTGTGGTTCACAGGTGCAGAGGCAGACATCACAGCTGTCAAGCAGTTATTTACAAGAGAGACACTTCTCCAGTAGTAATTGACAACCTTCTTTAAGGGAAAAGAGGCTGCAAAACTGTGGAATATTAGAACATGAAGCCAAAGAGGAAAACTGACTTGCCTAAGGCCACTCAACAAATTATTCAGCCAGAATGGGAACTCATACTTGACTTCAACTTCTTATTCCTCGTGTTCTTACTCCTACAAGTTTTCCACTACTCAGGGGCTCTTTAGGGTAAATTAACCATGAAAACACACACATGCACACACACATACAAACTAAATTCCATTCATATTAAGATATGCTTCCTTTTTTCTCTCCCCTATCCATGGTAGTAATAACAAGAAGTAAAAGCTTTTTCATTATAAAGTAAACTTCCATTTTTCTTTCTTGATACGTTTTCAGGTTTTCCTCTAAAAGTAATTAAAAGTACTACTCAAGTTGTTCCTAGTTGTCTAGAATGGCTTATGCTGCCATTAGCTTCTACAGCTCTGTCATTAGAGAAATGGACTGTACTTCTTCTTCACCTTTCACATGCGGCCAAAATTGGGTTACTTTAAAAGGCCAGATGTCAAAAGCAGATAAATCCTTTGTACTGTAATGAGCATAATGATGAATAATGGCACTTATGTTCAATAAACGATGCCCTGCCCATAAACAGCCTTTCCTCTCAGATATTCTATTTAATTCAATGATATATTCCAGGTAATTTGTGGAACTGAATGAGAAATTACCTTAAACAAGAAGACTTTGGAATTTACTAAAATATACTTGTTGAAAATAATTAATGGAAGCAGAGTTTGCATTAGTAAAATTATGGCATTAAAATCCGTCATTGCATGAATTCATCTTCCAAGTGGCCTGCCTTGGAGCAGGTGTACAGATGAGGGCATTGTGGCATGAACAATGTTGGTAGTAAAAGGCATGCTATTGATATCAATGTGCCATGGTATGTGGTGCTCTTTGTGTGTTTTAAGAACAGAGACAATCCATATAGTGTTGATCATCTCCCACTTAAACTACTGTAAAACCCAACTGATCTTGCTACCTATATTCCATGGAACTATCCTAGTAATCTTTGGAAAACATAAATCACATCACGCCACTAACCCCCACTCAAACTACTAATGGTTTCCCACCATAGTTGAAGTAAAAATCCAAAATGCTTTCCATGCTCTATAAGACTGTAAAAAGACCTATCTCTAGCCTGCCTCTCTGACATTATCGTCTACTATTCTTTCCCCCTTGCTACTCCACACTAGTTACACTTGCAGTATTGATAGTTCTTAAATATTCAAAGATATTCCTTCCCCCAGGGACCTTGCGGTTTTTTTCTCCACTATATCTCATTTTTGCATGAATCACTTCCTCATCACATTCAAGAATCTGCTTATATATCATCTACAACTTCTATTCCCAGCAACACAGCAAACTACATACCTTGAAAAAAAAACTTTCCCAGTGGAGAACAGCTAAAATTGCTTTAAAAATGCATTTTTAGATACTTTAATTGTTTAATTGAGAAGTTTTTTAAAAAATCGTAGAAACCAAAAAGTTAAAGCAAAAACATTAATCTCAAAAGGTAAGAGAATACTGAAAACGATGCCTGTCCTGGGACAATGGCTGATCGCTGATAGTCCAGAGCTGCACTGTTCGATACAGTAGCCACTTGCCACCTGCGACTATTTAAATTTTTTAAAAAATTATAAATTTAATTTCTCAATTACATAAGCCACACTTCAAGTGTTCAATAATCACAGTGGCTGATGGATACCATGTTGGACAACACAAATACAGAACGTTTCCATCATATAGAAAGTTGAATTGGATGCTCTGATCTCAATTTTTAAACAAAACCTAGAGCCCATTGAAAGAGAAAGTTAGATTGGAGACCTCCTCCTATTTCAGGTACACAGATCCCCCTAAAGAAAAAAACACTACACCTACAAGGAACATCCGAGCTAGAAAGAAAATCTTTCCTCCCAAAGTAAAACAGGAAAAACAATGCATGTCTAAGACTTGACCCCAAATTGAAGAAAAAAATGTTCTTCTAGAATACATAACAATCTGTTCTTCACATATGTTTGGAGCCAGAATTTTCTCTACCTCTATGATCCAATTAATTTGAAGCTGAGAAATTTCTTTAAACTAATGCTGGAATGGGAGTGTCACCATGTTCCCAACAGAAGTAAATGTAAACCATCTATTAAGGAACCTACCCTAAATCCCAGGCTTCAACAAAATCCCTGCAAAATGTATAAAAATATATATGCTCACAAAAATAAAATACGAAAGTAAATAAGATACTAAGAGTGAGCAGAAACCACTGAAAGAAGAGTAAAACTCTCAAATACTGTAGATATTAGAATTATTGTATATAGAATATAATGGTTATGTAATAAATACCCTTAAAATAAGAGTGTCAATACTACATTTAATAAATGATTTACTACATACAGCCATTATGGAAAACAATACAGAGCTTCCTCAAAAAACTAAAAACAGAACTGCCATATGACCCAGCAATCCCACTGCTGGGCATATATCCAAAAGAAAGGAAATCAGTATGTCAGTGAGATATCTGTACTACCATGGTTATTGTAGCACTATTCGCAATAGCCAAAATATGGAATCAACCTGAGTGTCCACCAATAGATGAGTAGATTTTTTTAATGTGGTATATATAACAATGAAGTAGTATTCAGCCATAAAAAAGAATGAAATTCTGTCATTTGCAGCAACATGGATGGAATGGGAGGTCATTATGTTAGTGAAATGAGCCAGTCACAGAAAGACAAACATCACATGTTCTCACTTACATGTGGAAGCTAAAAAACTGAATCTCATGGAGGTAGAGAACAGAATGATGATTACAAGAGGCTGGGAAAGGAAGTGGGGAAGGGGAATGAAGATGAGTTGGTTAAAGGGTACAACAATATTGTTAGAAGGAATAAGTTCTATTATTTGATGGTATAGTATGGAAATTATAGTTAACAATAATTTATTATATATTTCAAAATAGCTAAAAAAGAAGAATTATAATGTTCCCAACACAAAAAAAAATGTTCGAGGTGATGGATATCCCAATTACTCTGATTTGACTACATATTGTACGCATCTGTCAAATTATCACATGTATCCCAAAAAACATGTACAATTATGATATATCAATAAAAATACAAATAAGACACTACAAAAATGATTAGGTTTTTTTAAAAAGTCTAGAAATTTAAAATATAGTAAATAATATTTTTGAACAGATTTGAAATGATTGAACAGAAAGTTAATAATTGGAAAATAACTCTGAAGAAATTACACAGATTATAGCCTAAGATAACAAAGTGATTGATAGGGGGCTATAGTAATAAATATAATTGAAGTTTGGAAATAAGGTAATAGAAATAGACAATATTTGAAGGGTAAATGGCTAAGGATTTTCCCAAATTATGAAAGTCATAAATTCCCAGGTTCCAGAAGCCAAACAAATGCTAGAAGGGTAAATAAAAAGAAACACACATGTAGAGATATTGTAATGAACCTGCAGAATACCAAAGATAAAACTATTTTTAAAGTAGACAGTAAAAAGGCAAACCAGCAACAAAGTAATATCAATTAGACTGATGCCTGACTTCTCAAAAGCAGCAGTGAGGCTAGAAGTAAATAGAATAACAACTTCAAGATTAGACAGTTATGACCTAGAATTATATACCAAGTGAAAATGTTGTTTCAAGAATTAAGGCTGTGTCAATCAAACTTTATCTTAGATCAGGGTCTCTAGAAATACAGCTTGAAACAGGAATCTCTATACAGGTGATTAACTGACAGACTTCTCTCCTGAGTAAATTATAATGATGTAAGGGGAACAGGATAAGGCAGGGGAAGAAACTCAAGATGTGGTTTCAGCTATAGTCTAGCCCCAGCCTGACCTCAAGGGAGTTCTGGAGTATGATTATCACCACGTGGTTGTCCCACCTTGAGGCAAAAGGCTTAGGTGTCTTTCAAAGACCCAGGTGTTGTTTATTAATTCCTCACATCAAGTATCTTCTCCATCAAGACTTTAACTGGTGTTTTAGAGCCATGTTAAGACAAATAACTTAGGCATTACTTATAAGCTTTACTATTTTCATTGTTCATTTAAATTTTTTATATATCATGGCCTTAATATGTAGTCTTTTAAAGTTATGTTATATTTACACTCAAGGCACATGATATTAATATATTCACCACTGAGATTGTCTGTGCTAATATTTTGCTACATTCCCTTTAGATTGTCATTATTTTCAAAGAAACAACACATTACAAATACAGTTACAGTCCCACCTTCCATCTCTTCCTCATTCCTGTCTACTCAGAAGTAACCCTTTTTCTGAAATAAGTATTATCATACTCATATATGTTTATTTCTTTCCTTTGGATAAACTTCCTAAATGTTTGATACTCTATATTCAACTTTTTTTTTTTTTAGCCACAACATTATATCTCTGAGACTTGCTATGTTGATACATTCAAATCCAATTCATTCATTTTCATTTTAGGCATTCTGCTGGACCAACAAACAACAGTGTATTTTTTCATCCCCCTGCTGTTTGACAATAAGATTTTCTTAGCCTTGTAACAATTAACAACTCAAAAATATACATCTTTGTATATGTCTCCTTGAACAAGAGTTTCTCCCTGAGAAGCTCCCAGAAGAAGAACTGTTGGGCTATGGAGAATATGCATTGTCAACCTTACTTGGTAGTTCCAACATAGCTTTCCAAAGTGTTTATACTTATTTTCCGTCCCTGCAACCACGCCTTGGAGTTCTTGTTTTGTTTGCATTATCACCAACAGTGAATATTATCAAACTTAATAAATTTGTAAATATAAAATGTTTTGTCCTTGTTTTAATTTACATTTCCTAAGTACTAAAGAAGTTGGACATCTTTACATATATTTATTGGCCATTGTATTAGTTCATTTTCACACTGCTAATAAAGACACACCTGAGCCTGAGTAATTTATAAAGAAAAAGAAATTTAATGGACTCATAGTTCCACATGGCTGGGGAGGTCTCACAATCATGGCAGAAGGTGAATGAGGAGAAAGACATGTCTTACATGGCAGCAGACAAGAGAGAGCATGTGAGGGGAACTGCTGTTTATAAAATCATCAGATTTCATGAGACTTATTCACTATCAAGGGAACAGCATGGGAAAAACCCGCCCCATGATTCAATTACCTCCCACAGGCTCCCTCCCATGACACATGGGGATTATTAGAATTCAAGGTGAGATTTGGGTGGGGACACAAAGCCAAACCATATCAGCCATCTATCTTCCTCTGTCAGTTTACCATTATATATTTTAACAATATTTATATCTGATATTATTGATTTCTAAGAGCATTTTATATATTCTGCGTATTAATATTTCATTGGTAATATGAGTTGCAAGTGTCTTTTCTCAGTCTATGACTTTTATTTTCATCTCTGTCCCCTTTTATACAGAAGTTTTATGTTTCAGTGTATCAGAATGTATTAATTTTTCCTTTCGTGCTTTCTCTAAGAATTATATCTTAGGAGTAAGTTCAAGAGAGCTATTGTACAATATGGTTGTATAGTTAATAACATTTTGAAAATCACTGACTAGATTGTTTTTACCACAAAAAATGATAAGTACATGATGTAATGTATGTGTTAATTAGCTCAAATGAGCCATTCCACAATGTATACGTATTTCAAAACAATGTTGTACACAATAAGTATATAAATATATGCAATTTCTATTGGTCAATTAAAAATATATTTTACTAAAGGCATAAAAATATTCTCCCATTTTTTGGTTGAAAGTTTTAGAGCTTTGCTGATCACATTTAGGTCTTTAAGCTATCTGGAATGTATTTTTGTGAATGATGTGATATAGCAATCTCATTTTATCTTGTACTATATAATGGCCAAGTTCCTCAGCATCATTTATTGATGATTTTATCCCCTTTCTCATATAAAAAACTCCCAAGTATACAATGGTCTGTCTTCTGTCTCTTCTTTGTCAGTCAATTTGTCTAGCTGGGAAAGTACCTCACAGTTTTAAATGAGGTTTCGTATTACTGCCGAGAATCTGGTAAAATGATTCATCACATTTTGTTCTTTTCTCAAGTTACCTTGGCTAAGGGCTTAGGCTTTTGTATCCCTGTCCCTCCAATCAGTCAGCATTGACTGCAGGCTGCCCCCAGGGTAGGAGGGCCTAACTTCCCAAGCATTTCTGAGCAAGGTGGCTCCCAGGGGCCAAAGGCAATTCTCTGGAGAAGAGTGCAACTGTAAGCCATAAGCAGCCAACAGTCACAGTAGCAGGAAGACAGGTACACTGGCCTGGTAGAAGGGATCTGGGTGGGGTGCCAACAGTTTCCAGTACAGGATCCAAAAGGAAAACAGATGGTACACTCAAATTAGGATAATTTAAAGATAGTATATTTGCAAAGGACTAGTGATAAAGGCGTGCTTGGGGTTGGGTAAACTACAAGAGATGGAACTGCTACTATTTTTAGAGCTGGGGGATGAAGGGATAGCGTGGCTGCTGGAACCAAGAATGAGAGGGTCATTTAGAAAGAGCTACCTTGGGAGAAGAAATGACCTTCAGTCAAGGACTACAATCAGCCAAGGTGACCACTGAGGAGAGTGGAGCAGAGAAAGAAATATCCCAGTCTCACTCTCCTTCCACCCTCTGATCTCCTGCTGGGCTCCTCATTTGCTAAGCCCAATGAGAAGCCAGAGAAAGTGTTTGTCGCAGTGTCTATGGGCCAGCCTCCCAGAGAGGAGCTCTGTGGGAAGGGCAGAGAGTGAACCTAGAGGGGCAAATGCACAATCTCCTGCACGGAGGCAAATAAAAGGTATTTCCGACAAACAAATGTCACCTCTTCTGAGTAGTCTTACCAACCATGCTGTCTAAAATAATGTGCCCCCAACCTCTGTCCTTTGTTGGTTCTCCAAACTCTTACCCTGCTATTTGGCTTCAAAGCACTATATTCACATGAAATCATATTAAAAACTTCCACACAATAACGAAGAAAGCCAAGCACATGAATAGAAAGATGAGCAAAGATGAACAAAAATAAGCAATTTGCCAAAGAAAAGTGTAATGTTTAATTACATTTGTAGTCAAAAACATAAAATATATTATAAAATACATGATATAGTTTTCACCCATCAAATTGACAAATATTTTAAAATAATTTCCAATGTTAGGGTTTGAGGAAAACACACTAAGATTGAAATAAAAAATTGGTGTAATGTTTCTGAAGAGTAATTTGAGAATTTATATAAAAAATTTACGCTATTTTATCCAGCCATTTTACTTTTAGGGATGTATTCTAGGAAATGATTCAAGATGTTCTCCAAGATGAGAATTATTTATAAAGGCTAAAAACTGCAAACAATTTGTATGTCCAACAAAAGACAATAGCTTGCCAATGTTTCCCCAACTGTGTTCCTTAGAGCACTAGTTTCATGAAATTCTGCTTGAAAAACTGTTCCACAGTCAACTAAATGTGGAAATACCCTTGGAATGAAAGGTAAACTTTATAATGTAGCCTAACGTGGTGTAACCTGTGATCGGGACAAAAGCTAAGCAACTATTTGGCTTCATAAGTGGGTCAAAAATTATAAACTTAGCCTCATTAGCCCTGTGTTCCAACCACCAGGACTCATTAGTCTGAGTTCAGTTTAATTATCGTTTTAACTTAAATTTATGTTATCAATGAGGTAGTTCACTGTTTATCATTCCCACATTTAGAAGCTGAAAACAGTGAAAATTTATTATCTCACATTTTCTGTGGGTCAGGAACCTGGGCATAGCTTAGCTGGATGTCTCTGGCTCAAGGTCTCTCATGAAATTCCAGGGAAGCTGTCATTTAGGTCTGTGTTCTCATCTGAAGGTTTAACAGAGGAGGATCAGCTTCTAAGCTTAGTCATGTCATTAGCATGCTTTGGCTCTTCACTGGCTGTTGGTCAAAGGCTTCCTTCTGTTCCCTTCCATAGGACAACTCAAAATGACAGCCAGTCTCCCTCAGACAGAGCAAGCCAGTGAGAGAGTAAGAGAGAGCCTAAAAAAGAAGCCATGGTCTTTTTGCAACCTAATCTCAGAAGTGGTATCTCATCATATTTGTCATATTCTATTTGTTAGAAGCAAGTCACTAGTTCCAGCCACACTCAAGCGGAAGGAATGACACACAGGGACAAACACCAGGAAGTAGGGATCACTAGGGGCCATATTAGCAGCTGCCGACCACAGTCACAGTATGAAGGCCCTTGAAATTCTCAAGTGACAAAGACTTGCTAAGTAAGAGCTTCTCTAATCACAATGGAGGTCTGTCTGACAGAAGGGGTGTGCCAAAATGAGAAGCTGAAATTATAAAGTAAATGAGCAAATAGCCAACATCAGTTTCTTTCCAATTTAGTTTGGTGAATATTCTGGCTGACTAGGTGGGGTTCCGGGGTACTTGGGTCCCAGGGTGGAAAAGCAGGGGGTAGGTGGGGACTAACAGGAGAGAGAAAGGGTGGAGAAAAAGATGGAAATGTCTCCAAAACCAGGAGAAGCGACAACAAGGACTGCTCCACAATTTTGCCAAGGGCGAATTCAGCTTTATTACTACAATGTCACTTCAACCTTTGAGGGATAAGGGGTTCATTTCTAATGTAAATTATCTAGGCCTCTTATGTCTCATCAGCTTCTTCCTGATTTTATGTACATTTTTGCCATTTCTTGCTTCTTCTCATTGCCTCTGGAAAATTTAGGAAGGAAAGGAGAAGTAGTAAAATTCAAGTAAAATTCAACAAGCCATTGTTATATTACATTTTATCTCCAGAGAGAATATCATTTTCCTCTCAATGTTTATGTACTGACCCACATAACTGGATACATTAGTAGGAAAACCCTACTTGATTTGATTGCATAATTCAGCACAATCAATTTAGGGAATGTTACAAATTTCTTTTGATCTTAAAGTCCTCAAACATGGGACCTCAGTCAATAAATTTGTCAATAAATTGCTACCCCTCTTTTTCAACATTTGTAGAAATACTGTTTTTCCTCCTGAGTTGACACAAACAATCTCATCCTGCCTCCGAGAAATTACTCCGTGAGGCATGTGAAGACAGTGGCCTATTTTGGACTCCCCAAGAAAAGCTGCATTAGGATCTAATCTTTTTCTTTGCCCTTCCTGGGATGGGCTAGGTGGCATAGGAAGTCTTTTCTATTTCCAATTTTACAACTCCTCTCAGCAAACAGCAGGTAAACAATTTTAATACAAGGCCATTTTCATTATGTGTCTACTAGAGAACATGCCCCTGCATTAAAATAAACAGTAGTAATACAAAAAAAAAAAGTTTGCTCATACAGTAATAGCAACCTTCCAGAATTACAGTGATTGTGCTGCCCAGCAGTATAATACAAAATGTGGTTTTTATCCCAGAAGACACAGAATTTATTATTTTCCTCCTACCTGGCTTTTTAAAGCAATTGGAGCCAGATTTCGGAAAGAACAATTCACTACATTAGCTCTCAAATACAAAAAAAATACATTTTCAGCATTGAAATGAGTCATTTAAAGCAGCACTTCAACAAAATGCTGTCCACCCTGCCCTGGTAATTATGTCATGTCTGGTGTGTACTAATTTACACAGTGTATTCCTGCATAATTAAGGCTATTAAGCCAAATTCAGAGGCTGTGATATACCTACAGTCTTTAATTAATTAAACAAGCACACAGAGAAGTTACTGACAGGGTCAGAGCCTGGTCTTCATGCTCCTGGTGGGAAAGATGCTAAAGAAATGGGTGAGAAGCATTGCCACCTGGAATGTTCCTTCATTAACAATTTTGGATTCATAGAGATTTGAATAGAAGGGGTGGGAGGGACCCAATCCAAAGTCATTTCCCAGAAGGTAGACATTTTCATTCAGTCCTTCACAACCACTTGCCATTAAACCACCAAACGTGAGAAAGTATTTAAAAACAAAAGCAGGTAATGAAATTGACCACCACTTCCAATAATTTCATTGAAGTGAAGGATTTTCCAATATACTTACTTTGGGCTACCTTTACACCAGGGGTGTCCAATCTTTTGGCTTCCCTGGGTCACATTTGAAGAAGAATTGTCTTGGGCCACACATAAAACATACTAATACTAATGATAGCTGATGAGCTTAAAAAAAAATCCTAATGTTTTAAGGAAGTTTACAGATTTGTGTTGAGCCACATTCAAAGCTGCCTGGGAAGCATGTGGCCCACAGGCTGCAGGTTAAACAAGCTTTCATTAGATAGTACCATGGGTCATAAACTATATTAAATCTGGGAAAGATGATTTCTCCAGACTTTTCATTCCCTTTGAAGCCACCAAAAAACACCATATTCATCCAGCCCACTAGATCTAAGCATTCTGTGAGTCAGCCACTAGCAACCACTAACACATAAGAGAAAATCTCAATTGGTGTGGGTTTTAAGGTCCTAAAAAAAATCATAACACTTCTACTTTCTTTGGAATTTCACCCAATACCAGTACTGTGCTTTGTACCCAATGCACCTGTGGCCGGTTGACCGCCCCAAAGGCAAGGAAGGGATACCCAAGAGCATTGATCTTGAATATCTTTTCTTCATAGTTATAATGTGGTCTTTTTCAAGCATGTCCTCAAAAACTATCTTAAAAATCTTTAAACATATCTTTTAAAATTCTCCATTTAAAAAGAAACTTTATATAAATGCAGATTTCTATTGCAAAACAAAGGTGTATTGGGTATTTCACAATGACTTCATTTCTGGCAAATTTTACTTCCCTCTTTCACTACTCCTAGTGATTATCTTACTGGTGCAACCTATGTTCCTGAACACAGACGCTCTGTCAAGAGAAGAGAGGAACCCACTGTAGAGAGAAATGCTATCAACCAAGTGCCAGTATACGGTACTATTCTGTGTATGTTCCTGCAATGTAATTAGGAGCTAAGTATGAGAAGATTCAGAACTCTGAGGGCAGTTCCAAGATGGCCAAATAGGAACAGCTCCAGTCTACAGCTCCCAGCGTGAGCGACACAGAAGAAGGGTGATTTCTGCATTTCCAACTGAGGTACCGGGTTCATCTCACTGGGGTGTGTTGGACAGTGGGTGCAGGACAGTGGGTGCAGCCCACCGAGCAAGAGCCAAACCAGAAGCTCAAGGGGTCAGGGAATTCCCTTTCCTAGCCAAGGGAAGCCGTGACAGACAGCACCTGGAAAATCGGGTCACTCCCACCCTAATACTGCACTTTTCCAATGGTCTTAGCAAACGGCACACCAGGAGATTATATCCCATGCATGGCCTGGAGGGTCCTACACCCACGGAGCCTCGCTCATTGCTAGCACAGCAGTCTGAGATCAAACTGCAAGGTGGCAGCGAGTCTGGGAGAGGGGCACCCACCATTGCTGAGGCTTGAGTAGGTAAACAAAGCAGCAGGGAAGCTCAAACTGGGTGGAGCCCACCTCAGCTCAAGGAGGCCTGCCTGATTCTGTAGACTCCACCTCTGGGGGCAGGGCATAGCCAAACAAAAGGCAGCAGAAACCTCTGCAGATTTAAATGTCCCTTTCTGACAGCATTGAAGACAGTAGTGGTTCTCTCAGTGCGGAATTTAAGATCTGAGAACGGAGAGACTGCCTCCTCAAGTGGGTCCCTGACCCCCAAGTAGCCTAAATGGGAGACACCCCCCAGTAGGGGCAGACTGACACCGCACACGGCTGGGTACCCCTCTGAGATCAAGCTTCCAGAGGAAGGATCAGGCAGCAACATTTGCTGTTCAGCAATATTTCCTGTTCTGCAGCCTCCACTGCTGATACCCAGGAAAACAGGATCTGGAGTGGACCTCCAGCAAACTCCAACAGACCTGCAGCTGAGGGTCCTGACTGTTAGAAGGAAAACTAACAAACAAAAAGGACATCCAGACCAAAACCCCATCTGTATGTCACCATCATCAAAGACCAAAGGTAGACAAAACCACAAAGATGGAGAAAAAACAGAACAGAAAAGCTGAAAATTCTAAAAATCAGAGTGCCTCTCCCCCTCCAAAGGAATGCAGCTCCTCGCCAGCAATGGAACAAAGCTGGATGGAGAATGACTTTGACAAGTTGAGAGAAGAAGGCTTCAGATGATCAAACTACTCCAAGCTACAGGAGGAAGTTGGAACCCATCACAAAGAAGCTAAAAACCTTGAGAAAAGATTAGACGAATGGCTAACCAGAATAACCAGTGTAGAGGAGTCCTTAAATGACCTGACGGAGCTGAAAACCATGGCACGAGAACTACGTGATGAATGTGCAAGCTTCAGTAACCGATTCGATCAACTGTAAGAAACGGTATCAGTGATTGAAGATCAAATGAATGAAATGAAGCGAGATGAGAAGTTTAGAGAAAAAAGAGTAAAAAGAAATGAACAAAGCCTCCAAGAAATATGGGACTATGTGAAAAGACCAAATTGACACCTCATTGGTGTACCTGAAAGTGAGGGGGAGAATGGAACCAAGTTGGAAAACACTGCAGGATATTATCCAGGAGAACTTCCCCAACCTAGCAAGGCAGGCCAACATTCAAATTCAGGAAATACAGAGAACGCCACAAAGTACTCCTCAAGAAGAGCAACTCCAAGACACATAATTGTCAGATTCATTGAAGTTGAAATGAAGGAAAAAATGTTAAGGGCAGCCAGAGAGAAAGATTGGGTTACCCACAAAGGGAAGCTCATCAGACTAACAGCGGATCTCTCAGCAGAAACTCTACAAGCCAGAAGAGAGTGGGGGCCAATATTCAACATTCTTAAAGAAAAGAATTTTCAACCCAGAATTTCATATCCAGCCAAACTAAGCTTCATAAGTGAAGGAGAAATAAAATCCTTTACAGACAAGCAAATGCTGAGAGATTTTGTCACCACCAGGACTGCCCTACAGAGGTCCTGAAGGAAGCACTAAACATGGAAAGGAACAACCGGTACCAGCCACTGCAAAAACATGCCAAATTGTGAAGACCATTGAGGCTAGGAAGAAACTGCACCAACTAATGAGCAAAATAACCAGCTAACATCATAATGACAGGATCAAATTCAAACATAACAATATTAACCTTAAATGTAAATGGGCTCAATGCTCCAATTAAAAGACACAGACTGGCAAATTGGATAAAGAGTCAAGACCCATCAGTGTGCTGTATTCAGGAGACCCATCTCACATGCAGAGACACACATAGGCTCAAAAAAAGGGATGGAGGAAGATCTACCAAGCAAATGTAAAACAAAAAAAAAGCAGGAGTTCCAATCCCAGTCTCTGATAAAACAGACTTTAAACCAACAAAGATCAAAAGAGACAAAGAAGGCAAAAAAGAGACAAAGAGACAAAAAAAAAAAAAAATCAATGAATCCAGGAGCTGGTTTCTTGAAAAGATCAACAAAATTGATAGACCACTAGCAAGATTAATAAAGAAGAAAAGAGAGAAGAATCAAATAGATGCAACAAAAAATGATAAAGGGGATACCACCACCAGTCCCACAGAAATACAAACTACCATCAGAGAATACTATAAACACCTCTACACACAAATAAACTAGAAAATCTAGAAGAAATGGATAAATTCCTGGACACATACACCCTCCCAAGACTAAACCAGGAAGAACTTGAATCCCTGAATAGACCAATAACAGGCTCTGAAATTGAGGCAATAATTAATAGCCTACCAACCAGAAAAAGTCCAGGACCAGATGGATTCACAGCCGAATTCTACCAGAGGTACAAGGAGGAGCTACTACCATTCCTTCTGAAACTATTCCAATGAATAGAAAAAGAGGGAATCCTCCCTAACTCATTTTATGAGGTCAGCATCATCCTGATACCAAAGCCTGGCAGAGACACAACAAAAAAAGAGAATTTTAGACCAATATCCCTGATGAACATCAGTGCAAAAATCTTCAATAAAACACTGGCAAACCAAATCTAGCAGCACATCAAAAAGCTTTTCCACCATGATCAAGTTGGCTTCATCCCTCACATGCAAGGCTGGTTCAACATACACAAATCAATAAATGTAATCCAGCATATAAACAGAACCAAAGACAAAAACCACATGATTATCTCAATAGATGCAGAAAAGGCCTTTGACAAAATTCAACAGCCCTTCATGCTAAACACTCTCAATAAATTAGGTATTGATGGGACGTATCTCAAAATAATACGAGCTATTTATGACAAACCCACAGCTAATATCATACTGAATGGGCAAAAATTGGAAGCATTCCCTTTGAAAACTGGCACAAGACAGGGATGCCCTCTCTCACCACTCCTATTCAACATAGTGTTGGAAGTTCTGGCCAGGGCAATCAAGAAGGAGAAAGAAATAAAGGGTATTCGATTAGGAAAAGAGGAAGTCAAATTGTCCCTGTTTGCAGATGACATGATTGTATATTTAGAAAACCCCACTGTCTCAGCCCAAAATCTTCTTAAGCTGATAAGCAACTTCAGTAAAGTCTCAGGATACAAAATCAATGTGCAAAAATCACAAGCATTCTTATACACCAATAACAGACAAACAGAGAGCCAAATCATGAGTGAACTCCCATTCACAATTGCTTCAAAGAGAATAAAATATCTAGGAATCCAATTTACAAGGGATGTGAAGGACCTCTTCAAGGAGAACTACAAACCACTGCTCAAGGAAATAAAAGAGGACACAAACAAATGGAAGAACATTCCATGCTCGTGGATAGGAAGAATCAATATTTATAGATTCAATGCCATCCCCATCAAGCTACCAATGACTTTCTTCACGGAACTCAAAAAAACTACTTTAAAGTTCATATGGAACCAAAAAAGAGCCCACATTGTCAAGTCAATCCTCAGCCAAAAGAACAAAGCTGGAGACATCACGCTACCTGACTTCAAATTATACTACAAGGCTACAGTAACCAAAACAGCATGGTACTGGTACCAAAACAGAGATATAGACCAATGGAACAAAACAGAGCCCTCAGAAATAATACCACACATCTACATCCATCTGATCTTTGACAAACCTGACAAAAACAAGAAATGGGGAAAGGATTCCCTATTTAATAAATGGTGCTGGGAAAACAGGCTAGCCATATGTAGAAAGCTGAAACTGGATCCCTTCCTTACACCTTATACAAAAATTAATTCAAGATGGATTAAAGACTTAAATGTTAGACCTAAAACCATAAAAACCCTAGAAGAAAACCTAGGCAATACCATTCAGGACATAGGCATGGGCAAGGACTTCATGTCTAAAACACCAAAAGCAATGGCAACAAAAGCCAAAATTGACAAATGGGATCTAATTAAACTAAAGAGCTTCTGCACAGCAAAAGAAACTACCATCAGAGTGAACAGGCAACCTACAGAATGGGAGAAAATTTTTGCAATCTACTCATCTGACAAAGGGCTAATATCCAGAATCTACAATGAACTCAAACAAATCTGCAAGAAAAAAACAACCCCATCAAAAAGTGGGCAAAGGATATAAACAGACACTTCTCAAAAGAAGACATTTATGCAGCCAACAGACACATGAAAAAATGCTCATCATCACTGGCCATTAGAGAAATGCAAATCAAAACCACAATGAGATACCATCTCACACCAGTTAGAATGGCGATCATTAAAAAGTCAGGAAACAACAGGTGCTGGAGAGGATGTGGAGAAATAGGAACACTTTTACACTGTTGGTGGGACTATAAACTAGTTCAACCATTTTGGAAGACAGTGTGGCGATTCCTCAAGGATCTAGAACTAGAAATACCATTAGACCCAGCCATCCCATTCCTGGGTATATACCCAAAAGATTATAAATCATGCTGCTATAAAGACACATGCACACGTATGTTTACTGTGGCACTATTCACAATAGCAAAGACTTGGAACCAACCCAAATGTCCATCAATGATAGATTAGATTAAGAAAATGTGGCACATATACACCATGGAATACTATGCAGCCATAAAAGAGGATGAGTTCACGTCCTTTGTAGGGACATGGATGAAGCGGGAAACCATCATTCTGAGCAAACTATCGTAAGGACAGAAAACCAAACACCACATGTTCTCACTCCTAGGTGGGAACTGAGCAATGAGAACACTTGGACACAGGAAGGGGAACATCACACACCGGGGCCTGTCGTGGGGTGGGGGGAGGGGGGAGGGATAGCATTAGGAGATATACCTAATGTAAATGACAAGTTACTGGGTGTAGCACACCAACACGGCACATGTATACATATGTAACAAACCTGCACATTGTGCACATGTACCCTAGAACTTAAAGTATAAAAAAAAAGAAGAAGATTCAGAATTCTTTAATGCACTTAAAATTGCTGTCATGAGGCAATGGATGGCATATTTGCATGTGAAAGGACTGTGAACAGCATGTAGGAAGAATTGTGAAATTACTATAGTATTTATTATTATAACTTGGTGTCATGCTAGTCTCATTTTAGAATGAACTATAAGAATAGATTAAATTAGTGCCATTTTCTTTCCTTGTTAACATCTTTGTCACAAGAACAAGCTGTCAGAATTTCGTATCTAAAATAGTCCATGGATTATTCCTCATGATACTTGGCCATTTCCAAACCCTGGGTTTTGATTGGTTGCTCTCAGCCCTGTCCTTTGAGACTGTGGGTTGAACACAGGGAAATAATAATATTTTAAGCAACTAATCAGGTTGCAGACAACCTGATAAAGGTAGGACAGACAGTATGTTACAATTTTAAAACCAAATTTGATCAGAAAACATTCTCTCTTAAGAAAATGCTTTTGACCACTGCTGAAAAATATTTTTTGATGTGTGACTTCAGAATAGAGACTACTCAGAGATATGTAATCTTATTAGTGTCTGTCTGAGTTTTTTCACTGTCATAACGTACAATGAACATTTCTCTGAGGCATCGGGAGCACCATGGTCTTGTCAACCTTGAGACAAGTCGTGATCAGAAGTCTATGATCTGTTACTTCACATGTCTGTAACCCGCTGGTTCTCTGGCCTCAGTTTCTATATCTAACATGGATTCCTCTTTCCACTGTGATTTTTCCTCAACTACTATTCTCCATAACCAGATGACTGCTTGGTCCTGGTGTGCCCGGGGCTGCCCCACTTTATGTCTGTGGTCTTAGCATAATTATTAAAAGCATCTTCTTTCACTCTCAGAGTGTGCCAGTTTAGACAATACTTGATAGTATCACTCTACCCATCATGCTTCCTCGGAGCCTCTCTGGGATGTGTCACTGTTTATGATATAGTACTAAGTTATAAATATGTCTTAGCAGCCCTGCTAAACTATGACTTGAGGGAGAAATTTGGTCTCACTCATCTTTTTGGTTCTTACAGGACCTTGAACAGAGCAGGTACTCAATAAATTTTTTTAAATTTATAAAATCACAGAGTGCTTAATTTCCTCAATGCCCAAACTACAGTCATTAAGTCTTTTGAAGATTCATATTAGAACTGTGGTGTCTAGAAGAAGGTAGTTTTACTTTTTACTGAGATCAAACCCACTCAAAACATCATATATAGCAGGTGACAGGGCTGCTGTGTAGAATTGATAATATGGACTTTGTGTGAGGTCACCCAGCCCAGGGAGGGAGCGCCTGAAATTCAACTGGTTCATGTGTCATGCCATGTGCTACGTGGATTAGTGGAGATCCTGCCTGATCTCTAGATGCAAATCCAGATTTTAGGGAGCCAGATTTTAGGGAGCTTATACAATTGGTGTAGAGAAAAGGGATTTCTTTAAGAAAAATACTTATAAGGAGAAAATTAGATATGAAAGTAGATATTTATTTAGAATAAGAAATATTAAATTTGGAAAAGTTACCAAGGTACCACAAAATCCATTATAATAACATAATATTTATATTACATAAGGCCTCGATACACCTCTACAATACTTTTCCACCTATTTACTGCCTGAAGAATACTTTAGTGGTACTTTGGCATATGGGTGCTCAGTTTTCCTAGAACTATCTGTTGAAGAAACCATTGAATGGTCTTGTTGCTCCTGTTGGAAACCAATTACCACATATGTGAGGGTTTGTTTCTAAGTTCTCAATTCTATTTCATTGGTTTATGTCTCTCCTTACGCCATTGCTACACTGTTTGACTACTGTAGCTTTGTAATAAGTTTTGAAATCAAGAAATGTGAGTCTTCCAACTTTCTTCTTTATCAAGGCTGTTTTGGCTATTCAGTATTCCTTGGAATTTCATGTTTCATTTCAAATTTCAAATCAGGATTACAGTAGCTGGAATAACTTAAGTATACGCAGAAGTGACTTCAAGCCACATAAATGGATCCCACTGAATCCAGACAATATGCATGTCCAAATCCATTTTCCCTTAGTCACACCCCAGAAATGTTCAAGGCCATCATGACAATACTCTACCTGAGGGGAAGTGTGACCAATGGGAACTCCAAGTGGAAAGGGAAAGCACTTTTACAAAGATATATGCCCATGTGAGCACATCTCTAGGGCCCTATGTGAGTGAGGTACCTTAAAATTTAGCTTCACTATAAATTTGCCTCTTATGGTCTTCATGTTTTACAGTAGTGGGAAATATGAAATAAAGCCGAATGAACTAGAAGAGGGAAGACCTTATGGGGACCTGAAAACAGCCTTCAAATACCCAAGTGACATCATATAGAAATTGAATAAAGATTTAACTGAGTGGAACAATTCTGAAGATATTGAATGTATTTGTTTCAAACTCTCAGCATGATTGACTTCATAATCTGTATCCTGGCGTCTTCACACTAAAGCAGATTTTTGGAAGGTGAGAAATAAATCCAGTCAATTATCCAAAAACCAAAGCTCAATTGACTATAGCAACTCCACAGTCCTGAATACTGGATGTGTAAACAGAGCTTGTGGCTCCTCAGCATGGAATACCATCAGTGAAGAAACTCCATTTTTGCATCTGTTTATGTATTTGTCTCTCCCCACTATTCTTGAGCTTATTAAGAAGATGAATTTTTCATCTTTTTATCTCCAACACCTAGCTCAGAGCCTGGCAGCATACAGTAGTTCCAAATATATGTTTTCTGAGTCAATCAAAGGATGAATAAATGTTTAGAGTATCAATCCATAATTTTTATTTAGTGCTTACTATACACAAAGCATTATACGGAAAAACTTCTTGTCCCCCAAAGAATCACATGCCATTGAAGAAAATAAGAATTATGGGAGGACGTGACAGCAATTCAAAAGTAATTGAATGGTTCTAAGTAAAATAATAAGCAATCAGAAAATGTTGACCATCAGTTTCTGGCTAATGCACATGTGCTCAAGTTTATCTAAAGCCTATAGAGAGCAGACACTCCAGGCCTCCTTTAGTTAAAGAAGAATTTTGCCATCGATAATAACTTGTGTGTCTACTGGTTGGTAGGTACTATGCTCTGCCCTTAGGAACACAGTAAGACTGACACCCTCCCTTCCATGTGGAACTTACAGTCCGGCTGAACTTTGAAAGATGCGTGCAATCACAATCATGAGGTGGCACTGACATTCAGCTGTGCCATTTGAACCATCTAATGTTCTTTCACTGTTAAGTTGCTGAGGTCTGTATCTCATGGAGTTTTCGGGTGGCAGTAGATGCCCAGGTAAAATCTGAGATCCCATCTAGGAATGAGCTATGAATACCAGACAGTGCCACCAGCCTGTTCTACTTGGGTGCTGACTGAAGACCCAAAAGCCAGAACAATGTGGTTGAATTCTTCTCAAATTTTCTTTAATTTCACCTTTTTTAACTGTCAAATTTTGTCCTTCAAATATTAACCATATTTGGTCAGTAGACATTACTTTTATAAATAAGGACAAATAAAATATTAAAAACCGAAGATCAATTGACTATATAGCAAGTTCAAACCAAGTATCAGATATACTAAGAGTAAGATTAAGAAGGATAAACAATAGAAGAATAAAGCAACATAAAAATGAAAGTTGACTATTTGGGTTAAGCAGAAAAGAGACGGTATTATTAAATTCCCTAAAATAAATTTGATACATTCAGTAAAATAGAATTTTAAGAACCTTAGTACTGTAAACCTCAATAGTTTAAAGAGAAAATTTTAATGTGTAACATAAAAAAAAGATGTTTGTTAAGTTTAATTGAAACAAGAAGAGGCAGGTGTTATTGGAGTTTAGAACAAAAAGTGCCCTCAGTGGTAGCTCATAAGGCCAAGAGGATGTGTGCAGGCTTTGGCAAAATACAACCTGGGCGGGAATCCTGGCTCAGCCCCTTTCTAACTATTAGTTTCAGCATGTAATTTAACCTCCCTGTGCCTCAATTTCCTCATCTGCATAGTGAGGAGGAAGGAAGATAATAATATCTGGACTCCATATTACTATATGTAATCTCCTCTTTCTATTTTCATATGCTCATATGGTGTTGTGAGGAGCAACTTAGTTCATGCTATCTGCCTGGCACGGTACCTGGCTGGCACTTAATATAGACACTCAAGAAACTCTCAAAAGAAAATCTGTCAGATTTTACTGACATTTTCATCTGGTTCTACAAACTCAAAGTTTTACTTTTCTGAAATGAATTTTAAAAGACCACCATTATTACCAGAAATATTGAGTGCCTATCAGTACATTATAAAGTAGGGAAGAGCATCTGAGTACACTAGACACCAACGTTCAGCATCTTATCCAGATAAGGACTCCCAGACTCTCTTGCAATTTTCTCAGTATAGTAATTTGTTATTAGGTTCATCTGGAGGCACAATTTGTGGGACCCCCACACAACAAAATCATTAATCAGAATTAATCACGCAAGTAAGATAAAAGCACACGGCCAGCCCTGGGCGAGAGCAGCCTATTACACGATCAGAATGAATTAAAACCATGGACAATACAATTTTTTTAAAGCCCGGGGGTAGGGGCAAGAAGCAGACATGTTTTAAAGATCACAGACAATACACTCTTCAAATGAACCGAACTTAATGCCTCTTGCAAGGTCAGATCAAGGGTGAAGAAATGAGAATTGACCAAACACTAGAGCAATTTCCAGCTAAATAAAAAGCCAGATATTCTTTTCTTCACTGACAACAGAAAACACACTGGGAGACGAGAAGGGTTGATCATTGATGCCAAAAATGTACTCTCCATTCTTTGAGGCTTGTAAAGTCTCTCCTTTTATCCATTTTCTATTTTTCCTCGTATTGCCATTCTCGGTTTTTGTCAATGACCTTTCTTCAATCCAACTCAGCCTCTGTCTAATGGCCTGAAGAGGACTTCTTCACTTGATGGAAAGCTTCAGATTTAAGATCCCCCTCCTTCATTAGAGGGAAAAGTGAACAGCCTCTATGTGCCGGGTGTTAATGAATGTGAAGAAAGATTTTTTTGTATGTGTTTTACACATTATGTTCTTGACTCCTAGAGGTGCTACAATAAATTGCCGCGCTTCATTTACAAGGAGCCATAACAGGAGAAAAATGAGAATCTGGTGACAAATTGCTTCTCAGTCACCCTGGGTCAGGCTGTTGGGGCTAATGAGAAGAGGGGCTCTAATTTTAAACTCCTCCTCAACCAAGCCATTCCTGCATTAATGTTCACTGTTGTGAATTGTAAAGTCAAATGAAGGAGCACTGTTGAAAATTAACCAGTATTTTTATCTTTCGAGTACTAAATAGAGCATATTTTGGCTTCTGTAGCTGGTGGTTATCAAAGGCAGCTCAGCCTACACCGGGGTGCCAGCTCCTCAGTAGAGTACCCCCTCCCCACACAACAGCACTCTTCTAATTTCTTCTCCTTTGACACCAAAGCCTTTCCTCTACCTTCACAAAGAAAAAACAGCCGGCAGAAGGAAGTAGTGCAGGTTTTCAACAAGATTAGAATTCGGCCCATAGGAGCAGTGTTTGAAACCAGCCCCTTTGTGGGTACAGTTAACAAGATACTGTATACAGGCATTAAAAGTCAGAGAATCATACTATCCAGTTAGGCCTGCTGCATGCTTAATGATCCATACTTGTGTATGTGGAGGAAGAGCCAGTAAATCACTGACCCCGTGAGGGCAGGAAGCACTTTGTCACTGGAACCCTAAAGCAGGATTTGAGCAAATAATGAGAAACCAATGTAACACCTGCCTCTCACAAAATACTCTCCTAATTCCACATTTTGCCAGTTTATAAAAGCAGGCGGCAGGCAAAAACAGGGGCAAGAGAAAGGAAGATGTTTTATTAAACTGGGCAGAATTTTGGTCCCACATGGATGTCCAGGAAATGACTCAAATTTCAAGGTGGGATTTTTTGGGGAGTTTTGGTAATGTGTTTTAAGTATGTATGAATGAAACGAAGTTCCTCTTGTGTGTAATGTGTCTGTCCGGGTGCATTCTTCCATGGAATCACTACATAAAATACAAATTAACCACACTACCCTACTCTAATCATTGTAATCAGTTATGTTTTCATGTGTACATTACTGATATATAAGGCTGTTGTAGTTCTTGTGTGTGGTTTAATTGCTTGTTTTTGCATATCTTGTGTGATTGATGATGTTCTAGAAATCTTTTCCCCTAAAGGAGACTTTGTAAATTACTTTGTTTAGATGCTAATGATTGTATTTCATTAGTGGCCCTCTCATCCAGAATCATCTTTAAATGAATGAATATGCCATAATTAAAAATCTGAATTATGAATTACTTTGAAAGGAGACAACATTGTCCCGATTTCCCACTGCGACACAGTGTTATTTCAATTATGTAAATATGTTTAATCATTCCCCTTTTGTTTTTCTAATTATTTAATATTAATGTTGCTTTACCCCTTTATTGCTACAAGAAGGGATATGGCATCTTAAATGAGAGTACTTAGACAAGTGATACACAGATGACTAGATTAAAGCAGACATTTATCAGAATGCATAACCCATTTCAAAAACAAACATGCTATTAACATTCATACTAATATAGCAATACTAGCTATAATTGCACTTCATGAATGTTTTGTCTGTAGAAATCTAATGTATTCACAATGAACAATTTCCAATTATTGTTTTTTTTTCTTATAGAAAGTCCAAAACCCCTGGTGAAAGTTTCAATTATCTTGAGGTGTACATCTGAACCATCCACAAGACCATCATTTTTTTTCTATAGTAGGAAATTTGCAGCTGCTCAAGTACTATGAAATGTGACATATTTGACTTTCACCTCTCCACTTTTGAACCTTCCAAAAATATCTGCAAAAAAGAAATGTTTTAAGCCCCTCCCCACCCCACCTACCCCCCCTTTTTTTTTTAACTCTCTACCTGAAGCAGGAGAAATATTAGGAAATTTACCCTCACTCTCAACAGCTCTCACACAAGCCTTCAAGAAGCTACATTTATAAGAGAAGCATGAACTGAGCACTGGAGAGCTGCAGAGGTCACGGTGTATGACAGTCAACTTTATACATTCACACTTCAGGCATCTTATTCTAACTAACTGCATAAGCCTGATTGGTTCCTTAGAAAACATGGCACCGACTTTAAGTGAGACATTTCTATTTTAGTGTAGCCAGACTACATGGGAGTCTGTTCCTCTACCATTTAGTGATATAGATACTTTCAGTATTATTGCTAACTGACTCTTGAGGTATAAGAGCCTTAATTATGTTGGTTTAATATTTTATGCTTAAATATTGTTATTTATAAACTAACAGTGGGAAATGCTACAACTTCCCCGTGTTTTTTATTTCAATGCTATAATAAAATATGATATTGTTGATTGAGGGTTACATTTTATTAATGATACCTGTAATTAGGATTATGATTTAAAATATTTAGTCTTTATCTACACATTACAGGAGTGAGCAATCTTTAAAGACCTCTCTTCCCAACCACCACCTTTTTCTAATTTGAACCCATAACTTTAGCAACCACAAAGACAGGGACTAAGGTGTAATATCATATCTGGGTATAACTCGCACACAAACATACAAATTACCTTGTTCATCAAGGGCTATGCCTACAAAACCCTCCATGACATCACAGTATTTAGCATTCTACATAGACAAAAATAATGTGACATTTATTTGCAAGTTATTAAGAAAAATGTGTAAACTATATGCCACTAACACTTCTATTTCTCATATTTTTTCCTCAGTGAGAGAAAAAAAAGATTCATGCTCAGGTAACTATTGATTTTCCCATAATTTAGATAAATCTTTCTATTAAGAAAATGTTTTATGATTAACAAGATAAAGCTACTGATTGTCAAGATCAAAGAAAGAAAATTCCAAAGTTTTGTGTAAGTGACAAGAAATACAAAGTCTTTTTGTCAATAACACATTGATTTTAATGGCTTTTTGAATAAAGATCCCTGTTGAATTTTACAGATTGGAATGAGTTTCTAATTGTTTCTAATTAGACACTAATTTAAAATTATTTTTTCCCATACATCTAACTGGAAATCCTGAAATATCATAATACTAATATAGAGAAAATCCAAACAACCCCTTGAAATCAGTGTTTGAAAGCTACTGAAACATTTTGCTTTTGATTAGCTCAATATTCTGTCAATGACCTTGGAATCCACAGGAGGAAAATTCACGGGAAAGGAGTGGGGGATGGAAATTCCTGGAAATCTGCAATTTAGTTTTTTAATCGTGATTCCAGTGGATTTTTAAAAAAGTAGATGATTAGGTTTTAGTCTAAATATTCATTATCAGGAAGAAAGATGAGGGAAATATTGGGAAAACCATGCCTACATTATCACCTAAATTACGTGAATATTGCATTTTAAGCAAAAATGCAGCATAAAAAATAATATGGAAAAGGTTTTCACTGGGAGGTGAGGGCTGCTGCTGCCCAAGACAGAAGACAGGATTGGAGAGGCCTTGAAATAGCATGAGGGTGGCAGGTCCAGGAACTCCGTCATGGCAGACAAACTATGTCCCCTTAAAAGCATATTTTTATTTCACAACACATGAGGAAACCACATTGCTTTTCACTGATGAAAGCTTAGAATGCAAATGGTTTTTCCATTCAGATCTTCCTCAGACCGAACTACCCTAGTGCCTTGACTTCAGTAGTTGGATGGATGGACACAGGCAGTTAAAAACAAAGTTGCACTAAAGCCAAGCCTGTCATTTCAGGAAGGTGAGACTAAGTTATAGACTCTTACCTGCTATGATCTGAATTCAAAACAAAGCCAGAGAAAGCATCCTAACCTCAGATCCCTAAAAAAATTCCTCCCTTAGGAGTAGAAAAGCCATGAAAAATGATTTAGAAAGATACAAGTTCAGACACCCACTCCTTCCCATTCACACTTGAAAAAGTCAGCATGAGGCAGTTATACCCTGATTAATTACCACAGATACGGGAAAGCAAGATAGAGGGAAGTTATTTTTCTTCCCTAAGTTTTCTTTCATTTATTCAACAAATATACTGCATATCTACAATAAGCAAAGCCCTTTTCTAGGGGCTTTGGAGGCTACATAAATGAAAATAATAACAATTCTAATTCCATTTACAAATCTTACTCTAATAAAATGTAATATGTGCAAGTGTCAGAGATTGGTTGGTATAAATTCTTATGTACATTTGTATCTAATTACGAGGTAGTTTTTCTTGTTGTCACCCTTCAACATATATTTACTTTGCTCAGCACTCAATGTGTACTTTCATTGTGAATACTAATGTCCTTCTTCAATTCTGAAAATTATCAGCTATTATCTCTTTAGCTATGGCCTCTCCACCTTTCACTCCATTCTTTATGTCTGGGCTTCTCACTAGACATGTACTGGAGTCCCTCAACCTATATACTATGTTTCTTCATTTTTATTTCATATTTTTTATCCCCTTATCTGTCTTATCTTTGGGATTAGTTTCTCAGCATCACTTTTCAATTTACTTTCCTTGGGTTTAGTAAAAAATGTATCCCATCTGTTGAGTTCTGTTTGTTACAATGACTATCGTTTTTAAAGTGTTCTTGGCTGGGCACGGTGGCTCACATCTGTAATCCCAGCACTTTGGGAGGTCGAGATGGGTGGATCACTTTGAGACCAGCAGTTAGAGACCAACCTGGACAACATGGCAAAACCCCCTTCTCTACAAGAAATACAAATAATTAGCCAGGCGTGGTGGCACACGCCTGTAGTCAGGGCTACTCAAGAGGCTGAGGTGGGAGGACTGCTTGAGCTCAGGTTGATCAAGGCTGCAGTGAGCCATAATCACATCACTGCACTCCAGCTTGGGCAACACAGCGAGACCTTGTCTCAAAAACAAAAAAAAGTTCTCAAAATAATTATATTCACCTGTTTTCATCATCACCAATTTTCTTTTTGTATTTTCCTTTGAATTTATTTTAAAGCCCATTGTAATGTTTGAGCATTTTATGGTTTATCAAATAAGATGTTTTTAAGTTTTCTTTTTTTGTATTATACTTCAAGTTCTAGGGTACTTGTGCACAACATGCAGGTTTGTTACGTATGTATACATGTGCCATGTTGGTGTGCTGCACCCATTAACTCGTCATTTACATTAGGTATATCTCCTAATACTCAAATAAGTATTTTTAAGAGCACCTGGGATTCATGTAAAGATATTTTCCCTTTTAGTTGATGTAATAATTGTGCATATTTATGGGAAAAAGAGTGATATTTCAATACATGTATACAACATGTAATGATAAAATCAGGTAATTAGCATATCTGTCACCTCAAACACATAATTTCTTTGTGTTGTGAACGTTCAAAATCCTCTTACTGCCAGTGAATCCAACAGGGCTTAGAGATTTCTCTTTCAGAACGTTTTTAACTACAAATTCAATTACTTCAATGGTTATAGAACTATTGAGGCTACCTATTCATCTGAGGTGAGTTTTGGGAGTTTGTGGTTTTTAAAGGACTAATTCATTTCATCTAATTTGTTGAATTTATGTGAGTAGAACTGTTTGTCGTATTTCTTATTTTCCTTCTAATGTTAGAGTTGATAGTAATGTCCCTTCTTTCATTCCTGATATCAATCACTTGCATTCTCTGTTTTCTTGCCAGAGCTTCACAAATTGCATTGATCTTTTCAAAGAACCAATTTTTAGTTTCTTTGATTTTTCTCTATTTTTTGTTTTCAAGTTCATTGATTTCTGCTTTTGTCTTTATAATTTCCTTCATTCTTATTGATTTGAGTTTAATTTGTTCTTTCTCAAGTGTATCATGGTAGAAGCTTAAGTTCTTTAAGGCCATTTTTCTCTTTAAAATATGCATATTTAGTGCTATAAATGTCCCTCTAAACATTTAACTTCATCCTACAATTTGTATTTTGATTTTCATTTACTTCCAACTATTTTCTAATTCCTTTGAGACTTTCTCTTTTGCCCATTATTTTAAAATTTGATGATTAATTGCCAAGTATTTAGAGATATTATCTTTCTGCCACTACTTCTGGTTTAATTTTCTTGTAGACTCGGAAGATACTTTGTACTATTTCAATGAGGTTCAATTTTTAAGGCTTATTTTATAATCTATGTGATGGTCTGTCTTGGTGAATGTTCCATACACTTGAAAAGAATGTCTATTCTGCTGCTCTTGGGTAGAGTGTTTTGTGACAGATCCAGTTGGTTGAAGCATTCTGCAGTTCTTCTATATTCCTGCTCATTCCCCATCTACTCATTATACCTATTGCTGAGAGAGGAATGTTGAAGCTTCTAATTATAATTATAGATGTGTCTACTTCTCCTTTCATCCCTGTTAGTTTTTACTTTATATACCTTAAAGCTCTATTATTAGTGGCATATACATCTAGTATTTGTATATTCTTCTTGAGTTAATCCTTTTAGCAGTATGTAATAGCACTTTTTATTTCTAGTAATTTTCTTTGCTCTAAAGTCTTCTTTATTTGAAATTAACATAGCTACCCCAGCTTTCTTTATAGTAGTGTTTGCATGGTACATATTTTTCCATTCTTTTACTTTTAACCTACTTATGTATCAAACTGAAGTGAGTTTCTTGTACACAATACGTAAGTTAGGTCATGTTTTTAAATCTATTCTATCTGTCTTTTAATTGGTGCAATTAGATCGTTTACATTTAATGTAACTATTTATATGTTTGGATTTAGGTTCCCATTCTTCAATTTATTTTGTCTTTTTTTTTTTTTTTTGATTCCTGTGTTTTTTCTGCCTTCTTTTGGTTATTTAAGGCTTTTTAAAATATTTCATTTTAGTGTATCTATTCTTATTTTGTATGGTATTTGTAGTCATTTCACTTGAGATACACATTTAATTTTTTGCGGGTTTTTTAGACTCCATATATCACCATTTCAATTGGAACACAGAAACCCTACCGCTTTGTATATTCCTTTAGCCTGTCCACTTACGCTACAGTTGTCTTGAATTACAACTACATTCATTGAGAACCTCATCACACAAATTCCAATTTTTGCTTTTAACAGCCAAACATATTTTTAAGAACTCAACAGGATAAGAATATTCTATTATTATATTTACCGAGATGTTTTCCATGTCTTTTTAATTCCTGATGTTCTACCTTTCCTTTCAGTATCCTTTCACTTTTGTTTGAAAAGCTTCCTTTAGCAATCCTTTTAGAATAGGTCTTCTGCCTATAAACTCTTTTTTTCTTCATCTGAGAAATTTTCATTTCACCATTAATCCTGAAGAATATTTTAGCTAGAAACAAAATTCTAGGTTGACGCTTCTTTTCTTTCAGTACTTTAAAAATATTGTGCCTCCTCCTCCCTGCCTCCTTGCTTTCTGATGACAAATCCAGTCATTCAAATAATCATTCCCCTACATGTTAATGCATTATTTTAATCTGGCTGTTTTAAGACTTCAGCAGTCTGATTACAATGTCTCTGCACATGGATTTCTTTGAGTTTATACTGTATGAGGTTTGCTCAACTTCTTAATAAGTATAAACTTAAGTAAGTTTTTGTCTTTTAACAAACTTGCAAGATTTGGGGCATTATTTTTTCAAATGTTTTTCAGCATTGCATTTTTCCCTTTCTTTATGAGACTCTGAAGATCAGAAAATTCGATTTTTTTTATTGCTCCACAGGTCCCTGAAGCTCTACTAATTCTTTTTCCAGTTGTTCAAAAATCTTTTTCAGATCCAGTAATCTCTATTGATCTATCTTCAAGTTCACTGATTCTTCTTTCATCTCCATTTTGTTATTAAGTCTATCCAGAAAGCCTTTTAATTTTTTTGGTAATTGTATTTTTTAATTCTAAAATTTCCATTTTGTTTTTGTTTATATTATCAATTTCTTTGCTGAGGCTTTCTAATTTAACTGTTGTTGCAAGAGCACGACTGTTCCTTCAAAAATTGTTGAAATAACTGCTTTAGAGTCTTTGTCAGACAACTCTAATGTCTGTATACTTTTGGTATTAACATATATTGGTTGTCTTTTTCCATGTGAGTCAAGATTTTTGTGGTTCTTTGTACACTAAGTAATTTTGGATTACATTCTAGACACTTTGAATATTATATCATGGCACTCTGGGTCTTGTTTAAGTTCTGTGGAGAATATTGATATTTGGTTTTGGCAGGCAATTGACTGAGTATGTACAAGCTACAAGTTTCAGTACACTCTCTATAGACTGTGATGCCAAAGTCAGTTCAATTTTCAAAGCTTCTGTCATGCTTTTTGGATCTTTCCTAAGTGTGTACTGCCAAATGGTCAGTCTGAGACTTGGACAGTCTATTAGTTCAGTTCTCAAAGTCTTTGGTATGCAAATGAGGATCAGACCTATATTTGTGCAGCTTAAAGGTGAGCTTGGTGCTCATGAACAACTTTATAGGGTTGATTTCACAAGCCCCTCCCTTCCCAAGATCTCTCCAGTACTTTCCCGTTCCCTGGGCCTCCCCTACATGGTCCACTAGACAAACACTTGGAGTTCTAGTTACCCTGCTGTGTCACACTCTGTGTCACACACTTTCATGACTAAACCTGTGTCCTGGCCAAAGCAGAAGAACAGAGGCAGGGAATCAACAGGGGTTTGTCCCACTGTCTTGGAACAACAGCTCCACCAAATGGAAAGGAGTGGTCCTCTTCCTCAGAGTTTTGGCTTTTGGGGTTTTCATAGCTGCTGCCACTGCTACCATTCAGAATTGCTTGAGTGGGCTAGGAAATAAAAGAATGAAGAAAAGAAAAGATAGGAAAACAGGAATGAGGGCATTTTCACATTCTCCCTGAGCATTAGGGGCTTCCTTTCCTAGGCTTCAAACCAAGGACAGAGGCTTCTCCTGAAACCCTTTCCCATCTGAACTATAGTGCTCACTTCCAGGTTAACAGGCACATTGAGTTCAAGTTGGGGTACATCGAAGATCGAAAATAGTAAATTCACCACAAATTAGATTATGCTTCAAATTCTGTTTTGTTCCAATCTGCCTGCTCCTATTTACTTTCCAGAATCTTCCAATAATTGCCATCATGCATTCTATTTGGGTTTTATAGTTATATTCAGTGGGAGAGAAAAGGTGAAACATGTTTACTCCATCTCATCCACAACCATAACTCCAGTTTCAGCCTTTTTTATTAAAATGTCAGACTGAAAGTGATCTAAATAACTTCCTGTCTAGAGAGAAAAAACAGTGTGGTGAATGGGCAGGATTTTTCTCTGCCCTTCTGGTCACTAAAATATTTCATTCTTCTTTCTACACTTAAAACTCTCCAACCCAAAGAAAAAACCTAAAGTCTCAGCCAATTACTGCAACCAGCTTAAAATCTAGGCTCTCCAGTTGGTGTTCAGTCTTTTCCTGGGTGCTCCCCTTGGTCTGATAACCTATGAATTAAAAAAGACAAGTTCCCTGCTTTCACCGCACTTACTATACAATAGAGAAACAAGGACAGGATACTCACGATAATGTTACTATTTAAAATGGGAAATAGGCTGGTGGCGGTGGCTCATGCCTGTGATGCCAGCACTTTGGGAGGCAGAGGCAGGCGGATCACTTGAGGCCAGGATTTCGAGCCCAGACTGGCCAACGTGGTGAAACCCCATCTCTACTGAAAATACAAAAATTAGCTGGGCTTGGTGGTGCACACCTGTAATCCCAGCTGCTCAGGAGGCTGAGGCAGGAGAATGGCTTGAACCCAGGAGGCAGAGGTTGCGGTGAGCCGAGATTGCGTCATTACACTCCAGCCTGGTGACAAAAGCGAAACTCCCTCTCAAAAAAGAAAAAAAAATTAATGGGAAATAATAGGACATATACAGCATTTTCTGGTCCACAGCAATTCTAAAAAAAAATTGGTAAAAATTGTGAGGCCATTCCACTACCCATCCTGTAGGAAGGGAAAGCTCCTTGTATGGAGCCTAAGCTTGCACTCTGAGAAGTGCTCCCTTGTCCATTTTCCTCCATCTCTTTCCAAACTGCAACTTTGGCCAAGTACTTTCTGCAACAGCAGCAGATGGGTTCCAACCCACCAGCATATCATGCTAGAAAGTGAATGGTGTTTGCATTCTCCATTGGTTCCAATTAATCTGAAATAAGACTTCCTTACAGAAGAAATCCTTTATCCTAGTAAAGTGTTCATCTCAACAAGCCAGAGGGAGAGGAATAATGGAGTTGGAAAAATGTATTCTGCATTTCGAAAAATGAGCCAAGTTCTTTTAAGAGTGTGTGTGTGCATGTGCATGTGTGTATCTATATCCTCCAAAGAAGAAATGCATTTGGTTTCAGAAACCTTTCCATAATTTCGAAACTAGCTTTAGGACAGCACTGAAATGATTTAATTCTTTGAAACAAACATTCAAGTGTTCATCTTGATATTCAGGACAAACATTTCTGCTTATAAAATAATTTTATAGTAAAAAGTTCTTCAAAGCTTCGGTTCAGCTTTATGGAGTGTATTTATATCTTGTATTTTTTTCTTTTCTAAATGTGAAATTATGCTATGTATGAGAATTAAGTAAAATAGGTGGATTATCTATTTTCATTTATTACTCTTCATTTATTTTTATGAGTATTTGGAATGAATGTATTCTGTGAATCGTTTCGCTTGTATTTCAAATCTTAGTACTCGGCACTATTTACTATGTATTATATCATGTGAGGACTAAACATTAGGAAAAAATTGACTTGGTTTCACAAAATCTATTCCAAATACAAAAGCAAAACAATGTGTAGCAATTACGGATATGGTACTTTTTATATTGTCTTATACTGCCTCTTATGCAAAAACACTAGAAACTTAAGTTTTGTATTTTTTTAACCACATGAGTACAGTTTTACTTCACATGCTACAATCAGGCTGTCACATATACTTAAGATAAAAAGAGAAACCAGATCAAGCAGATCCTGTGAACTGTACCGACGCTTCCATCCACTGACCAATTGTTTTGCTACACAGGTGGGAATGTTGATTAGTCTGCACACATTCCCTTAGCTTAGCTTAGAGCTTGTGAACAGTGAGGTAGGGTATAGATAAAGAGAAAATAGGACAAGGTTTTTGCAACTGGCTAATGTTTTCCTGGTTATATTTTTAAAACTTACAAATAAGTTGCTTATTAATCTCTGTCCTATTCATCAGCCAACCAAGCTTCTAGTGATTTTCTGAATCAGTTGATTAATCTACTCAGCAGTCAAAATGGAGTTGTGTCAGTGGAAAGTTAAACTAAATTCAAGTATGTATACAATCATGTAGGAGAAAATAGAAAAAAAGTTATGTCCTAAGAAAGTATTCCTATCACCAGGGTGGAAAATAGTATGATTCCATGGTAGAAATTAGTATGATTCCATCCTCTATTGCTGTGGGAAAAATAGTCACATCTTGAACAGAAGATAGTAATAGTACTTTTTATTTGCCCAGCATTTGATACATTTTCTAGTAGTTTTACATATCCTGATAATAATGGTGTGAGGTCAGAAAGAAGACCCTTGGGGTGCACATTCTAGAATATGGTAAACTAAGTAAGGCTCAGGGAGACCAAGTGGCATGTCAAGTCACAGAGGGCCTAAGGTGGCTCCACATTCCACTCGCTGCTGGCTCCCCCCTGCACTCTGATCCCATCCAATCATCCTTCTACCTTAAATGTCAGGCTTTATTTAGAAACAAATCCTAGGATAAAAGTGTGGAAATAAGTTAATTTCCACTTGATAAACTCTATGGCAGTATTCACATTCTCTCTTTTAGATTTGGATTTGTTTTTTTTTTTAAATCAAATATGTTCAAAGTTACCATGTATGCCTCAAGTTTTCGATTAAAAAACTGACCATGTTTCAACCATTTGCAGAAACTGAAAACCTGTCTCATTCTCCAGGCCATAGACTTAACTGGCGTGGCATCGGGCCAGTTGCCTAACTCCCTGAAGTCTCGGTGTTCTGACCTGCGAAGTAAAGATCACGATAATAACGCTTCTCATATGGCTGCTGTGGGGTTTAAATGTGATATTGATTGTTAGGCCCTCAGCTCAATGCCTGATGGCAACTGGTACAACTAGGGCTTGATCCAAATTTCTCTTGCTTTCAGTCAAATGCTTAACCTCCACACTCTAGCAGATTTGCAGGGACATATTGAGAAATAAAAATAGAAAAATAAGTTGGAGACAAATTGAGGAGAACACGGCACACTAAGCTAAAATATTTGGGCTTTGATCTGTAGGCGATTAGAGCCATTGCAGATGTTTGAGCAGAAACTAAAATGTTAAATAAGAAATCTAGAAAAATTACTTTGTAGACATGCATAGGATGTATTGAAGAAATGCCGTAAGAACTTTGATTTATTGGAAAGATACTTTTCCACTTTTCTTAATTCCTACTAATATAGTCAAATTGATAATTATGAGCAAATGAAAATTTTTTGTAACATGACAATGTTTTCCTAATATTGTAACAGGTCAAAATTAATTTATAACCTCCCTTAAATATCAATTTTTGCCTTTAGTAGTTAGTCCACGAGTATTCTCTATACCACCAAAAAGCTAAGGAGAGAACAAACAAACACAGAGATATCTCATAAAAAGAAGAACCAAACATAATTTTGGAAATGGCCTTGAGTTAAGAAGCCAGTCTCCATGAGGAATGTAAAAATACAATATAAAACTAAAACATTGATACCTAAAGATCACTTCTATTTTAATAACATTTCTAAAATTAATTTTGTGATAGTTAGAAGATTTAGTTCTCTTTTCACCATTTAAGTATGAGAACCATTTTTTCATATTAAGAATATGTGAAACAATTAGAGTGAAGGTATCTGCTGATAGAGGGAAAGCATAATTATATAAAATTACTGTGAAATTTATTCATGCTACTAAATAAATTGGCATTGTTTTATTTACAGTAGCATCTACATATATTTTTTGAATAGTGTAGATATGTACACATATGTAAAGGCATGTCATTTACTCAATCTACACAAAACGCCAATTTTTTTTTTTTTGAGACTTGCACTGTCCCCCAGGCTGGAGTGCAGTGGTGCACTCTCTACTCACTGCAACCTCCGCCTCCTGGGTTCAAGCGATTCTTCTGCCTCAGCCTCCTGAGTAGCTGGGATTACAGGTGCCTGCCACCACACCCAGCTAATTTTTTGTATTTTTAGTAGAGAAGGGGTTTCACTATGTTGGCCAGGCTGGTCTTCAACTCCTGACCTCGTGATCTGCCCGCCTCAAACTCCCAAAGTGCTGGGATTACAGGCGTGAGCCACCGCGCCTGGCCAATATTTTTATAAATTCAAGAATCCTTTGTGATAAATTCAGGACCACCAGGAGCTTGAAAACTCCAAGTTTTCGTTTGTTTGTTATTTTAAATTGGTGGGGGTTTTGTTTACTTTTGTTTTTTAGAGACAGTGTATCACTATGTTGCCCAGGCTGGCCATGAAATCCTGGGCTCAAGCAATTCTCCCGCCTTAGCCTCTCAAATAGCTGGGACTACATGCATGCACCACCATCCTCCACTTTTATAGAATAATACTGTCTTCAAAAAATATCAAAAGTACCTATCATTGCAGAACTGTGAAAATATTTAAAAAGCAAACAGAAATCTCTTTCCAACACAATGAAACTATTAAGAATACCAGCAAGTGATATGTTCTCAGAGTTCTTTTCAAATAGCAATATTCTTCACTTATTCTCCCACTCTCATCTCATCTTCCATCAATATTTATTCTGGGGACCAATTAAAAAATCTAAGGATCATTCATTTTATTCATTCTCTGAACATTTACTGTGAGCTTAATACGGGCCAAATAGAGATAATGAGCTAATGCCTCACATGAGATAATGCCTCACAGAGATCACATTCTAGAAGAGACAGACAACAGTCCAAGGATAATACAAATAAATGTTTCTGATAATGCTAGGAACCAAAGTGCAAGGTACTATGAGTGTGTGGAGAAAGAGAACTTGACAGAATTTCAGGTCGGGACTTAGTCAAGGAAGAATTCCCCCAAGTTAAAAAGGAAAAAAAAAAAGGAAGGTGGGGGAATAGGGGGAGAGAGTTACTAGAGTGGGAAAAAGCATTACATGATTGAGAAATTAAAAGAAGGTCAGTATGTCTGGCTTCAGTAGTAAGATGGGTTCATAGACAAGAACCAGATCATATGGGATTTTGTAAGGCACATTAAGGTATTTGTTATCCGTCTCAAAAGCAATGAGAAATCATTGAGTCTTGCATTTACTAACCATGGGATCGGGGCAATTTACCCTTTCTGTGACTTCTTTTATTTAAAAAAAATAAAAAGTTTATTCTTTTATTAAATAAAACAAATAACTTATATAGCTGTAGTGATGATTAAATGAGACGATATGTGTCTAGCTTTTGGCACAGTGCCAGTTACATAATAAACACCATTACATGTTGGCTTTTTTTTTTTTTTTTTTTTTTTGAGAGGGAGTCTTGCTCTGTTGCCCAGGCTGGAGTGCAGTGGTGCGATCTTGGGTCACTGCAACCTCCACCTTCCAGGTTCAAGCAATTCTCCTGCTTGGCCTCCTGAGTAGCTGGGACTACAGGTGCATGCTACCACACCCAGCTAATTTTTGTATTTTTAGTAGAAACGGGGTTTCACCATGTTAACTAGGCTGGTCTCGAACTCCTGACTTCAGGTGATCCACCCACGTCAGCCTCCCAAAGTGCTGGGATTACAGGCATGAGCCACCGCGCCTGGCCATGTTAGCTATTTTTATAAGAGGGCTATGCCTTTTCACACTCTCCTTGCTTATGAGCTAGTTTTGTATACCTTTTTCCAAGGACACCAATGATGTTTTCCTTCCATCCTTCTGTATTGAATATTCAGGGATCCACCTTCATGTTCTTTGATTCACAAAAGACCAGGAACCTTCCGTATTTGGGGAGGGAGGAAGTAAGAGAGAGAGGAGTCCAACTTATTTATGTTGGACAGTAACCAGCCAAAGTTTTTATACAGAGAGAGAGATGAGGTCTCACTATGTTGCCCAGGCTGATCCCGAACTCCTGAGCTCAAGTGATCCTCCTGCCTCAGCCTCCCAAAGTGCTGAGATTATAGATGTGAGCCACCACGCCTGGCCCCAGACAGAGTTTTGAAATACAGATGAGTGTCACAGCCAGTCATCTGGGGGGACCTACTGACTACTGTGAAAAGAAAGTGCTCACAATATGCCAGTAGGACGGACAATAAACACAGCTCTTGTTGAACGGTAAGGCGACGTTCTCTTAGAAGTAGACTGACTCTGAACATGGTATGCTCACCCCCAATCCCCGTCTCTCAAGCATCACAACCCTTCTATCTCATTTTATCCTCTCTGTTGCTTCTCCTCCCTCCCCCAGACTAAAAATCTCTTACAAGTATCAAGAGGCATATTAATTAGAATTATTAATGATTATTAATGCTAGCCACTGTAACCACAAAAATCTCAGTGGCTTCACATATCAAGGTTTTTTGGTTTTTTTTTTTTTGCTCTTTCACAGTACAGTCCCATATGGGTTATGTGGCTCTCTTGGGTGACTATCCTCCAAGCTCAGGGACCTAAACAGCTTTCATCTTGTGACTACACCATCTGGAGCATGTGGCTTCCAATGCTACCAGAAAATGGGAAGAGAAGGCTAGCAGTTGATGCAGGATGGTGTTTGTTTGTTTGTTTGTTTTTGAGATGGAGTCTTGCTCTGTCTTCCAGGCTGGAGTGCAGTGGTGCGATCCCTGCTCACTACAACCTCCGCCTCCCGGGTTCAAGCAATTCTCCTGCCTCAGCCTCCCGAGTAGCTGTGATTACAGGCACGTGCCAGCACGCCTGCTAATTTTTGCATTTTTAGTACAGAAGGGATTTCACCATGTTGGCCAGGCTGGTCTTGAACTCCTGACCTCAGGTGATCCACCCACCTCGGCCTCCTAAAGTGCTGGGATTACAGACATGAGCCACTATACTCAGCCAATGCAAGATGTGTTTAAGGATCAAGTCTGGAAATTATATCATCATTTTAACCTACATTTCATTTTCCAAATCATATCATTCCAGCCCTACCCACCTACAAGGAAGGTTAAAAAATGTAATCTTATGGGCCAGGTGTGGTGGCTCACACCTGTAATCCCAGCACTTTGGGAGGCCGAGGTGGGTGGATCATCTGAGGTGAGGAGTTCGAGACCAGCCTGGCCAACGTGATGAAACCCCATCTCTACTAAAAATATAAAAATTAGGGGTGTGCTGGCACATGCCTGTAATCCCAGCTACTGGAGAGGCTAAGGCAGGAGAATCGCTTGAACCCAGGAGGCAGAGGTTGCAGTGAGCTGAGATCGATCCACTGCGCTCCAGTCTGGGTGACAGAGCAAGACTCTGTCTCAAAAAAATAAAAAATTAAAAAAAATTTATCTTTCTGCATGGTGAGTAAAACACAGTGTAATGAACATTGAACATAGTCTCTGCCTGGTGGGGAGGAAGGCTGGCTCCTACCAAGGATGTTTTGTATATGCCATTTGTCTCTTTATTTCCAGCAAAGCACACTGGGAAAGTCACTAAACAGCCACACCTGTAGCTCACTCTTACCATTCCTTACCCATGACAGATGTTTCACCTCCATTTTAAAAGTGGGAAAATTAAGATTCAGAGAGCAACACAGAGTCAAAGGCAGGCCTACACATGTCTGAGGAACCGCAAGTCCTAAGAAGAAAAAGAACCCTAGCCTTCTCCATGAATGGCCATTGTCATTTTCAGAGATCTTTCTGTGTGACAGACTTGATGTCAACTTGATACTTGAATTCCATTTATCCAGTATTTATGGTTTGCCAGCTCTGTCTAAAACCTGTTGGCAACTACAGTTATACAACTGTACATAGGTGAAACATACATAGACTGATATAGTTTAGATAGTTGTCCCTGCCCTAATCTCATGTTAGATTGTAATCTCCGATTCTAGAGGTGGGGCCTGGTGGGAGCTGTTCAGATCACAGGGATGGATCCCTCATGGCTTGGTGCCATCTTCATGATAGTGAGTTCTCGCGAGATCTGATCATTTAAAAGCGTGTGGCTCCTCCCCACACCCCATCGCCTTTTGCTCTCTTTCTCTCTGTCACTTGCTCCTATTTTCACCATGTGAAGTGCTTGCTCCCACTTTGCCTTCCACCATGAGTAAAAGCTCCCTGAGGCCTCCCGAGAAGCCAAGCAGTGTTGGCGCCATGCTTGTACAGCCTGCAAAACTGTAAGCTAATTAAACCTCTTTTCTTTATAAATTACCCAGTGTCAGGTAGTTCTTCACAACAATGCAAGAACAACCTAACACATAGACCCTGCCTTCAAGGAATTAATAGTCTAATGGGAGAGACAACATTTAAAGAGCTAATGTTTAAAAAAGATTATTTTATCATTATTTAGCTGAAATATTTATTTCTATATTATAATAAGCCAAAAATATACAGAGAAACGCTTATCTCTAAGGCCTTCGATTTATTGAATATTCTTCAGGGCTCTTGGTAAAAGCTTCATGATAAGGAAATATCTTAAAATAGGAGTACACTTTTTTTAAAAAAAAAAAACCACCCATCTCTAATTGATATCTAGAATGCAAAGTTGAATTCTACATGACTAGGAGAACAAAGGAGAAGCTCCAGAGTCCCATTAGACATCTATAGAAGGGACGTGAGGGCCCAGGGCCAGCTGAGAACTCATCTGTGAATCTCGGCTTCTCTTCCTTTAAGAAAAGAAAGCTTATCATTGCTAAGTCAGTACCAAAAATGTAAGTTTTATTAAATTCTTCTAAGCTTTGAGTTCCACCAACCAGTGAAAGCATACAGCTGAAACCAAAGAAACTAAAATGCAAATGTCTGTAGGTGCTAGTTCCACAAAGTGTGTCTCTATCCCAGAACCATCAGCAGCATGTGGGAGCTTGTCACAACTGTATCATCTTGGACCCTGCCCAGGACTTACTGAATCAGAATTGCATTTTAACAAAAATCCCTTTGGTGATTCATAGGTACATTAAACTTTGAGAACCACTGGCATAAAAAAACTATGTCTCTATGGGAATTTTGGATAATTCTTCTAAGAACCTACAGAGATTTATAATCCCCAAACAGGTAGACTGTATTTTGCTTCAATATAGCATTTTGCTTTTGGTGTTTCTCTTCTATTATGAAATAGAATGAGAATTTCCTATACCAATAGACAATATGATTCAATTAAAGTTGGCTAAATTTTAGCATTTCTAAAAGCAAATGGCAAAATAAAAGAAAATATTTTAATTCATGCAAATAGAATCAAATAAAAGCAAGAATATAAACACTAATGAAAATAGAGGATAGTGCTTCCAGGCAGACATAGAAATTTGTGATCTCAAACACTGTATATATTTAAATAAATGTTATTTTTTTCCCTTTGATGGTCCTATTTTATTATTAAGGGCACAGACTTTTTAACAAATGCACAACTAATTAACCTTAAGTGTTCAAAATTCCATAGGGATTTGTGGGCGATGGCTGAAAGAGCCTTAAGTTGATAAAATGTTAATGTCTTAAAGCATCTTTCTCTATTGAAGCCATGTACTCAGACAGGATGATGAAAAGGAAAATAAAAGGGAAATGTTTTCAAAGAGAGATTCTTTTTCCTGGGAGAAGAGGGTGAGGGGAGAAGGGAATGGCCAGAAGTGTTGGAGGCCACCGGCCAACAATTTCCGATCCTTTTCATCACACCTCAGAAAGCAGCAGAGATTATGAAGTCGGTAGAGTAGATATTTCTATGGAGGCTTTTTACAACTTACTTCCACCGTCACATTGCCAGCTGAGTTCCTCTTGCTAACATGACACATTTTTTTTTTAATTAGAGCAATTTGTTTCATAGGATGAGCGGTACCTTTCTCAAGATCCCATTCCTGCTGTTTCTGAGCCTCTTTGCCTTGAGGGCCCTTCTGTACCAGTGAGCCTCCAGTAAGTCTTGCTTCGCAAAGAAGCAGAGTGCTGCATTTCAATACTACAGACTACTTCAAAATCATGTTTTCATTTCCCAGAAAGAGTTTTTTAAAATGCACTACACTTCAGTGGCTGTATCCTGCCAGAGCCCAGCACCAAGGAGCCAAGGAGCACCTAAACAAGCTCTAGAAGGAATTCACTTTCCTCCTTTTGTTGAAAAATAAAGGCAAGTCAAGCCGTGGGCCAGAGTGCGCTCTTGGAGAACACACAGAGTGATCCACATCAGGGAGGTTGTGTCTGGTTCTTTCAGAGGTCCCTGCCTTGCCCCAGCAGCAACTGCAGAAATGGCTAACCCCACCCCACTTTCCACAGCCAATAGGAGCAGAGCCAGGGGACAGCCGCTCTGAGAGCCCCCTATGCACAACTTCTGAAAGAAACCCCCAAATTTCACCCTATCTCCCCTATCTCTCCCACCCCTTTCACCTCTGCCCCAAGGGGATGCCTTAAAATCTTACTTAGGAATAGGCTCTATGGAAATTAAGCCTTACACCTTTAAATAACAAGAGAATGGTGAAATAAAATACTTTCATTCTAAAGAGTCTATAGTGCCTTCAGGTCTATTTTCTTCAATTGCCAGTAGAGATGTTACCATTTAACATTTAGTGGCAGGCAGCCCCGAAAGAAGAAAGCAAGGAGTAAGACAGATCTACATTTTAAATGAAAGAAGGGGCTACTTCAGATTCTCCTGGCTATTATGCCTGTTCGGTAACAGTTTATTTTAGATTCGTGCTTCTTTATTCACAGAGACAGAAATTTACAAAGCATACAGTATTAAAAATTAATCAATTTTTACAAAAGGATTTTCACAGATTTCTTTAAATAGAAAGTTTCTTTAGTAAATATAAACCTTTACAAAATTGTTGAGTATCAAGTAGCAGAGTATAATCTCCCAGCACTGGCAACGTCTAAATAAAATCAAATCTAATACAAAATTATAAAGATGTATGTTTTACTTCCAGGTATCCGATCAGCAAAAAGCTATTAAGCACCTACTATATGCCAGGGTTACTTAGATGCCAGAGAAACCAAATCTAGTAAGATACCCTCCTGCCTTCAAAGCATTCACAAGGTTATGTGGATTCCCAGCATCTCAAAGGCTGGTACTTCTGAGTGTTGCCAGGTCACCTGTATTGTGTCTACAGCTAGTTTTGAGGGAGAACCACAGCAGCCCAACACACCTGCTCTCTCCCTGGGATCCTTTTCTTCAGGCCTCTCCATCAACACTATAAGTAACGAGTTGAGACACTAGGATAAAGCCCACATGTCCTTTAGGAAAGGAAGTTAACCATTGCACTGCCAGTTCTCTTCACCTCTGGTGCCAGTTGTCTGCCATCTGTTTACCTCATTAGGAAGTTAAAAAGGAGAAAGGGGAAAATAAAAACATCCATATTTATTAATTAGCTTCTACTATAACAAACCTGAGGGTGGGTGTTAGAACTAAGTACTTAACAGTAATTTAGAACGTTAGATTATCAGCATGGTGCTTCTTTCTGTCATTTATTCGTGATAGTGCACCCTGTAGTTGAGAAACTGCTTCGAAGACCACGGGGTACTGAAAGAACTGTTCTTAAAATGAGGAATTGAACTATATTCAAAATGTGGTACTAGACACCCAAATTCACTAAATTTACCAATTCACTAAAAAAAAAACAACTAACAATTTTAAGCCTTAAAATTAATATTGTCACATTTGTTGAACATTTATTGTGTGTCAAACTAAGCACTTTACCTACCTTTTAATGGTCACAAGAACTTTCACATATCTTAGTCAGTCTTTATAAGAACCCTATGAGGTAGGTACTATTATGACCTCCATTTTACAAATGAGAAAATCAAGGCACAGAAAGGTTAACTAACTCGACCCAAGGTACACAGGTAGAGATTAGTGGAAGATGTTTGGGCCCAACCACAAAGGTATACTGCCACATCATAAAAGAATATTTCTATGGAACCCCAGTGAGTCTGAGATTTGAAATCATCCACAGAAAAATACTGTGAATGCTGCCCTTCACAGAATATCTGAGCAAAGAAAAGCAGAAAATCATCCCTGACATTTGTTGAGCATTTACCATATTCTACGGTAAGCACTTCACATGCTTCATCTCACTTCTCAAAACCCTATTAGAGGCCAGGCACGGTGGCTCAGGCCTGTAATCCCAGCACATTGGGAGGCTGAGGCAGGCGAATCACCTGAGGTCAAGAGTTCAAGACCAGCATGGCCAACGTGGTGAAACCCCATCTCCACTAAAAATACAAAAAGTTAGCTGAGCATGGTGGCAGGAGCCTGTAATCCCAGCTACTCAGGAGGCTGAGGCAGGAGAATCACTTGAACCCAGGAGGTAGAGGTTACAGCAAGCCAAGATCGTGCCACTGCACTCCAGCCTGGGCGACAGAGCAAGACTATGTCTCAAAAAAAAAAAAAAAAAAAGAAGAAGAAAGAAAGAAAACGCTATAATGTACTATTATTACTCCAGTACCCATTTTACCAGTAAAGAAACTCAGGTATGGAGAAAGAAGATCTTGGTGGCTCAAGATCACAGGATAGATTTGAACTCAACTCTAACTGAGCCCAGAGCCAGAGGTTTTACCACTGTGCTAAATAACACACCAGAATAAATATTTTAAACCAAAGCATTCGTGAGTGTAGATGGTGTTGAGTTTTGGGATATCTCAAACACTCCAAGGTTTCCTATACAAACTATTTATGTTTTCTTATTTTTAAACTATTGATACTTACAAGCAATATAATCTCTTCCTTTCTCTTTCATTTAACATTCAAATAACCAGATTATTGCCTTTGGAGAGGCCTCCTATATCTAATAAATATATAAAGACATGTTTTTAAAACAAGAAAGTTGCCTAACCCAAAGTTCCATCTCTGACAAGAGTTCACTGCTGGTTTACAGCACTAACTCCTGTATGTCTGGTCAACACATGGATCTAGAGGCAACAGATTATATCAGAGGCAGAGGCTCTAGAAACAAAGCAGTCTAAGAAGAATGTCTTATTTTTGTTAGGCAATGTTTTTCCTTTAGATAAATTTAACCAAGAACAACACAATCTTTACTTTTTAAATAATATTTAAAGATGATAAAATTCTCACGGAAACATCTAAGCATTGAGTGGATAGAACAGACTCTTATTTCCCCCTAAGTAGCTAGAACAGTCTCTCATGTGAGCACCTAAACACCTATTTAGATCATTTAAATGCTATACACGTCAAAACACTCCAACCTCACACTTCCTTTGAAGTCACGACAATCAGTTTTTTCTTAGTGTCATTTTTTAGCATTGCTATGGCACTTCACTTTTGACAAGTGTTTTATAATTATTTCTACTCTTAGTTAACTCCTAGTTATTCATTTGCATGCAGTTAACTTTCCCAATGAAATACAGATTTTTTGGCAAAAATGAACCTACCCGTAACCAAGAGGTTCATACAGCAGAATTGCAGATAATTGTGTACCCACAGGACGAATAAGGTAGATAGATAGGTAGGTAGACAGACAAACAGACATAAGAAACTAATTCCAAGGACCAGTAACATTCTTGTATTCTTGTCTTACTGGAATTATCAGTCACATCCCCATGTTGCCAATGAGAACATGAACGAATGAGAGACTGGTATTCACATGTGAATTAATACTGATTGAGGAGTAAGTGACTGGCAGACACTGCTAGTTATCAGCCAGTGCCCATTCTCTTTTTTTCCTTTAAGTAACAGAATCCCCCACTGCCCATCTAGACAGTACGTTTCCCAGCCTCCCTTCCAGCTAGAAGTAGTAACATGAAGTTCAGGCCAACGTAATGTGAATAGAAGTGTTGTGTGTAGCTGCTGAGTCACCTACTTAATGATAAATAAAGCTCCTTGCCATGGACCTCCTCTGCCCTCTTCCCTCTGGCTGAGAAATGTCAATAATTAACACAGCTACCCTGGATGTCTAAAATGGAAGCCACATGTTCAACAGAGCAGAGCTGACTCACCAGCCCAGTCCTCAAATGACCTCATAGGACAGAGCTACTGCATTTCTGGGTCTCTGTTACAGCAATTTAGCCTGTATCACAACTAATGGAGTAAACAAATGAAGAGGGAAAAAATATATAAACACACGCACAAACACATACACTATGAGATTGGTTTGACTAGCTCTTGATAACAAGGGTAGATAATGATTAAGGGGAATTTTAAAGGAAAGTAGCTGGAAACATGACAGCAATTATTCTAGATTAAAGTAAGAACAAACTTCTAACTAAATACAAGTAGAAAGTCCTATAAAATATATTTTATACCATTACAAATGTAAAACAACTTCAAATAAATTAACAATTCTCTACTGAAGTTGAGATGCTCATAGAGCGTAAAACAAATGCACCAGTGTCCAAGATTTCTATCATGTTGATGGTAGGTCTGAGCCTGTAAGCTCCCAGAAGGCAGGAATAATATCTTGTTCATTTTTGTATCTTTCCCTTCTTCCTACCTCGACCCTAGTATGTTGGTAAGCACCACCATCTTAGAATCATGTAAGGATTAAAAACAAATGCATGCTCTTCAGAATTCATTGCTGTTAACTTTATCACAATAATCCTCAACTTCTGCCACTTTCTGGTTTTGAGAAACACAAGCATTTTTTTTTAACATTTAGAGCTATTGTAGAATGTATAAAAACTTAGAGCTACAGAACATTAATATTTTTAGATGTAGAATTAACAAACATTTATTCAACATCTAGTTTATGCCTGGCTCTGTGTTTGCTTCCACATAATACTTAAAGTTAACATCATCACCTCCATTTTTTAAAATGAAGAAACGAAGATACAGATTAAAGTGATTTGCCCAAAATGATATAGCCAGTACAAAGCACAGCTTGGACTAGAATTCAGGCTTCCTGAGTTACAGTTTAGTTCTGTTTCTTTCTTTTTTTTTTTCTTTTTTTTGTTTTTTTTTTTTGTTTTGTTTTTGAGACAGAGTCTCGCTCTGTCGCCCAGGCTGGAGTGCAGTGGCGCAGTCTCGGCTCACTGCAAGCTCCGCCTCCCGGGTTCACGCCATTCTCCTGCGTCAGCCTCCTGAGTAGCTGGGACTACAAGCACCCGCCATCACGCCCGGCTAATTTTTTGTATTTTTAGTAGAGACGGGGTTTCACCGTGTTAGCCAGGATGATCTCGATGTCCTGACCTTGTGATTCGCCCGCCTCAGCCTCCCTGGGATTACAGGCGTAAGCCACCACGCCCGGCCAGTTTAGTTCTGTTTCTGAGAGGTCTATTCCATTGCCTCATCCTTTTATGATACATTTCTACATATCAAATATTAGACCAAACAACAACAAAACACACACAAACAAAACACCTGCCAGCATAGTAATGACTGCTACGTACTGATGAACAGGAAAACATAGACATATATACTGTCCTAGACAGTATATCAGGATCGGGAAGGACTATAGGTAAACATATCAGAGTAATTCCTCTGAATAAAAATAGGGAAACTTTCCAAGATGAAAATGAGCAATTGGATAGCACCATTAACATTAACATCTTATCCACTTCTGAAAACTATTACTTAATTCAACGTAATTCTTCACTATTGGTCTAACCAGAACCTTTTTGGATTCAAAGATACAACAAATATGATTAAGAATAGATACACCAAGGTTAAGAAGTATCCAGCTATATATTTAGGACTGCAAGTGGTTGAATTAATTGCACATCTTCCCATAAAACTTTACACTTTCTTAAGGAGAGATTCCATGTGCTCAGTTTAAGACCCCTTGATCTGAAAAGGTCCAGGGGTAAGAAAGTTAGCAAGTTTTGAATCTCCAGTTTGATGATGTTTTGTTTGCTTATTATTTGTTATTTGAATTGGCTGTACTTAAAGCTAAAGAAAGTTAGGGAGAAATGAGACTGAGACAACCAATGCAATGAGTTATTTATTCAGTTCTTGGCCCTGATAATGGAAACATAACAGTATCTAAGAATTTCGGGTGCTAAGTAATTAGCAACTTGGTCTCACATCTCTGAGATTAAACTTCTCACTGTCCAGATAGGAAAATTTGATGTGAGACCACAGGCAAGGCTTCCTAAAGGAAATTAGAGTTGGAGATGTTAAAATCCACGATTCCCAGTAATGTCATGACATGGCTTATAGCAGTGACTTTCACCCTTTCCTAACAAAAAGCATCACTCTAATCAAGAAGTAATCCCATACCCTTTACCCACTCATGTGCTAAGGGCAAGTTTGCCTTTCACAGAAGAGAGCTTTAAGAATTTTAAATAAACACAATAAAGCATTCCCAGTAGCGAGTTAAATGCAGTATTACAGACCTTCTTCCAACTGTGTACTTAAATAAGGGTGGGGCTAGGAGATAAATGTAGGGAAATAGCTGGATCACATGGAAAGACCTATGTGGGAGGCGCTTTGTTTGATGGACCCAGTGAGCACAGAGTCCCCTCCCATTCGGGGTATCTAGAGCACACCCTCGATTCTTAGTGCTTTTGATGAAGTTTCTGCTTCAATGGGACAACGGCTTTCTATCAAAGAGTGTCATAACATCTTATAAAAGACTGTCATAACACAGAACCCTTCTAATTGGTGTGGAGAGCTCTGCAAGAGCACAGTAGTTGTAAGCCATAGCATCACCTCTCTTTAGGGAGAGGGAACAAAATTTAATACACAGGGCGGCAGAGAGATAATTAATTGCCTTCTTGGCAACCTACCACTCTACTCCCAATGGGATCACTGTGACAAGTTATGAAATTCAAGTCAAAATATTTAACTCAGCCACTTACTCAAGTGGTAGACCCAATTTTAGGCACCTCACAGTTAGGGTGCTCATAAAGAAAAGTCTTCTCTTCATTATTCTGCAGTAGCACATGTAACTGTTGGCATCTATGGGTATTCTGTTGCCTCTATGAAGGATATATCTGTCTGTAAAGTATACTCACATATTTCTATCAGTGTAAGGAAGGAATGAGTAATACAGAGAATTATAGTAAGCTGAATAGTTCCAGGAAAATGCAAGAACTAGATCAAAAATGAGAAAAGATTAGTACTGAAAGTCTTCGAAAATAACCTGATACAAAGTGGTCCAATCAAAAGGGTGTAAGAGGATGAATTAGCCAATTTTCCCAAAAGAAATACTGATTACACCAACTAGATCCACAGCTCCTGGAAGATGACGGGCCACTCTAATAAAGTCTAAGGATGTGAATTATACAACCAAGGCAGGAAATTCTGTGACCTAAGATTCAGAGGTCAGAGCAGAGGACAGAGGATGCCCTAGGGAATGAGTTGGAAGTAGGAAAGGGGAGGAAGGAAGGAAGAAAGTCGTGTCTCCATATTGACTAAGCCAGGGTCTTCACCTCCTCACTGGGTCAAGGCTGACAGAGACAGGTTACATGATTTTTTTTAAGAGGTAACAGCTCCCTAATGAGAATATACAGAAAGTATTTCCTGCTATGTTTTTAGATTCGCAAACAATAAAATACACTTCTTTTGAGTGCACAGTTTGATAAGTTTAGATAAATGTATACATCCATGTAGTCGTCACCACAGTCAAGATATATAACATTCCCATCATTCCAAAAAGTTTCCTCAAGTCCTCTACAGTCCCACCCCCAACCCCTAGGCAACCACTCATCTGCCTTCTGTTACCATCAATCATTGCCTTTTATTGATTTCCATATAAGTGGAGTTCTGCTTTATATACTCTTTTTGTGTCTATCTTCTTTTGTTAAGAAAAATTTTTATATTCATTTGTACTGTTTATAGCAGTAGTTCACTCCTCTGTATCGCTTCATAGTATTTCACTGCATGAATACACTGTAATTTATTTATCCATTTACCTGCTGATGGACACTTCAATTGTTTCCAGATTTTGCTTCCAGATTTTGGCTATTATGAATAGTTACTATGAATATTTGTATACACATCTTTGTATGGACATATGTTTTTATTTCACTTGCCTAGCAGTGGATTGCTGAATCATATGGCAAAAAAAGTAAATATTTTAACTTCATAAGAAATTGCCAAGCCATTTCCAAAGTGGCTGAATCATTTTACATTCCCACCAGTGATGTGTGAGAGTTCCCTCACTTCACATCCTTGTCAGCACTCAATATTGTCTGCCTTTAATTTTAGCCATTATAGTGTATGTATGGTAGTACCTCATCATTGGTTTAATTTGCATTTTCCTGACTAATAATGTTGAGCATCTTTTTATATGCTTATTGGCCATGCATATATCTTCTTTTTCTGAAGAGTCTGTTAAAATCTCTTCTTTTTTAAATTGAGTTGGTTCTTGCTATGTTGACTTCAACGTTTTTCTAAGAATGACAGCACTTCCCATCAATTTGATTTACAGCTAGTAATTTGAGGCTCTCTAATGGCACTGCCAGGCTAAAAAATTGCTAGCCAAAGTTCAAGTGAAAGGGTCAAAAATGGATGGAATGCATAAATCAGATCCTATCACTCTCCTGCTGAAAAATCTGCCAATGGCTTTCCATGGCAATTAAAATAAAATCTGAACTCTTTATCTTGGTCCCTAAAGCCCCATGTGATTTGACCTCTGCATCCCTCTCCAACTTCATCTCTTGCCATCTCCCCTCACTCACCATGCTCCTGACACCTGCCTTTCTTTTTGTCCCTTAAACACATGTATTTGTTCCTGATGTTATCCCCTCTGTCTGGAATTCTACTCATGGAGAGCTTGATGTGCTGCCTCCTTCTAATCATTCAGTCTCAACTTTAACGTCAGGGCTTCCCCACCTAATCCCGATAAACAGCACCCCCCAGTTCCTCTGTATCTTAGCATTTGTCACTACCTGAAATTATTTTATATTTTTATATGTGTTTATTGTCTGTTTCTTCCCAATATAATTCAGGCTTTATGAATACAGAAACTTCGTCTGGGTCATTGATTCATCCCTGGAACCTATAAGTGATGCCAAGAATATAGTATCAGCTCACTGACTACTTTTTAGGATAGTTGGTTCTCTTCCTTCTCAGTTGTTTCTCCCGACAAAAGTTCCCAGCCTCTAGCATCAGAGCAGCCTTTGCTGGAGTCATAGAAGCCATCACTAGAGAATACACCAAATGTATTCAATTTGAAGGCATCATCACCTCCCTCGGCCAATCACAGGTAAGAGCAATTTGACTTGTAAGATGAGATGAGTAAGAGAAAGGGGGGTAAGCTTTCGGCCAGAGGAGGGAAAAAGGACACTTCAGATATTATTTTATAGACAATAAGTCGTTTTTTTTGGATGGCCTCGAGTTTCTGGGGCATTCTCTCTTCTCACTGTGGCAAAAGCTTTCAGTGTTCACAATGTTTTGATCGTTTCCTCTGAACCTCTTCACTGGCAGAAAGCTTCAGCTTGCTTTCCAGGCCAGGTTCCCATCTGTCACTTCTAAACTTCATTTTTATTTCTTCTAATTCATGATCTGATCACTTTGATCCTTTGTAAAATGCTTTAAACTCCATTTATTTTAATTCAAATTGGAAATGTAGAGCAAACATGGTGTTTTGGTTTTGGTTTCAGTTTTTTCTCCTGTCCCTCTGGGTTTCCCATCTTTTGCTCCTGGTCACTTAAAACTATGATAGATTAAATTGATTGATTGATTGATTGATTGAGACAGACAGAAAGATATCCACATATTATTTGTGTTGCTGTTTGAGAGCACCTTTCAAGGCCCTCATGGCTGGTGATCACACAGAACCACTTTCCTATTTCCTAAGTGTTATTTTTCCAATGCCAAATCTGGAAAGCACACATTCTCTGCCTATATCCCAACTAATGAACGAAGTTTCCTCTGCTTCCAGTTGTTATAATCTCTAGAAAGCCCCAGGCCTTCTGTTTATGTGTTTAGTAACAAATCAGAAAGAAAAATTAAATAAAAACCATTCCCAAGTTTTGAGTCAACTTTATATGTGTAACACTCCCTAAATTATATGAAAGCCTTTTCCTTTAAGACCCCCCTCTGTAGCATTCATTTGTGAATTTTATTTATTTATATTTTTTAGATGGAGTCTTGCTCTGTCGCCCAAGCTGGAGTGCAATGGCGCTATCTCAGCTCACTGCAACCTCCGCCTCCTGGATTCAAGCAATTCTCCTGCCTCAGCCTCCAAGTAGCTGGGATTACAGGCGTGCACCACCACACTGCCTAATTTTTGTATTTTTAGTAGAGACGGGGTTTCACCATGTTGGCCAGGCTGGTCTCGAACTCCTGACCTCAAGTGTTCCACCTGCCTCGGCCTCCCAAAGTGCTGGGATTACAGGCGTGAGCCACTGCAGTTGGCCTAATCATCAATTTTATAGGTAGTTAGTGAAAACCTGGCATATGCTATATGCTGGGTATAGGTAGGAGGGGGAGGCTAACACATTCAAGAAACAGTATATAGTTGCCACCTCTAAAGGCTTTTGTTCTTAATGATGTACTAAATAATTACACATTGTATGTTGTATTAGGGTTTTCCACAAAAACAGAACCAATAGGATGTGTATATAGAGAGAGATTTGAGGAATTGGCTTGCATGATAGTGGAGGCTGGCAAATCCAAATTCTGCAGGGTCGGCCAGCAGGCTGGAGACTGCACATGTTTATTAGCCATTTAGATATCCTCTTTTATGAAGTGCCTGCTCAAGTCTTTTGCCCATTTTTCTATTGGGTTACTTTTTCATCAGTTTGGATGAGTTCTTTATATATTTTGGATTTGAGTTTTTTGGAGGGTATGTATTAATATTTTGCAAATATCTTCTCCCACTCTCCGGCTTGCTTTTTCAGCCTCTTTATGTTGCCTTCTGCTGAACAAAAGTTCTTAATTTTAACTTAGTCATATTTATCTATCTTTTCCTTTAGAGTTAGTGCTTTTTAAGTCCTGTTTTTTAAATGCTTGCACTCTCAAGGTCATGAAGATATTCTTCTTTGTTTTCTTCTAGAAGTTTTATTTCTTACTTCTTGCAGACGTTTAATTTTCACATTTATATCTATAATCAACCTGGAATTGACATTTCCATATGATATGAGGTACTTATTATAAAGTAAAACATAGATGCAGAAAATATCACAAGGCAAATGCATAGCTTAATGAATTATTATGAGTCAAACACCACCTACGTCAAGAAATGGAACTTAACAACACATGCACTCATATGTTCATTGCAGCACTATTCACAATAGCAAAGACATGGACTCAACCTAGCTGCCCATCAACAGTGGATTGGATAAAGAACACGTGGTACGTATACATCATGGAATACTATGCAACCACGAAAGGAATGAAATCATGTCCTTTGTAGCAACATGGATGCAGCTGGAGGCCATTATCCCAAGCAAATTAACAGAGGAACAGAAGACCAAATACCACATGTTCTCACTTACAGAAACATGGCAACAATACATACTGGGAACTACTGGGTGGGGAGGGAAGAAAGGGGACAAGCGTTGAAAAACTAACTGTTGGGCAGTGTGCTTACTACCTGGGTGACAGGATCAACTGTACCCCAAACCTCAGCATAATGCAATGTACCCAGTTAACAAACCTGCACATGTATCCCCTGAATCTAAAATAAAGATTGAAATTATTGGAAGGAAGGAAGGAAGGAAGGAAAGAAGGAAGGAAGGAAGGAAGGAAGGGAGGGAGGGAGGGAGGGATGCAGGGAAGGAGGGAGGGAATTTTTAGAATAGATTGCTATGTTGCAATTAAAATTATGTTTATGAAGAGTGGGAAAAAAAAAAAAAGAAATAGAACTTTGCCTGCCAGTACTGGAGCTCCTCCATGTGCCCCTTCCCAATTTCAATCCTCTCCCAGAACCTGACTGTTGAATGCTGTCAGAATTCTCCCATATTGTGCCAAAATGGCCAGGAGTTTATATCTCACCTCATTCCGTCATTGCATGTGGGCTGCCCTGGGAATGTATGATCCCAGGTAAGGCAGCTCTATGCAGCTGAGACAGCTCCTGAAGTAGCTAATAAGTCCTTGCATCTAGGCAGCAAGTCTTCCCTGGGTGGCCATCTCCATCCCTCACACACCACGTCACCTACTTTTGTTATAAATACTGTCTACTGCAACTTTATTTGAAACCACACTGAATCTACATAGATAAATTTGGAAGAATTTATATCTTTACAATATTTAGTTTTCCAGGCCAGGCACAGTGGCTCACGCCTATAATCCTAGCACTTTGGGAGGCCAAGGTGTGTGGATCACTTGAGATCTGGAATTCGAGACCAGCCTGACTAACATGGTGAAACCCCGTCTCTACCAAACATACAAAATTTTGCTGGGTGTGGTAGCAGGCGCCTCTGTAATCCTAGCTACTTGGGAGGCTGAGGCTCGAGAATCATTTGAACCTGGGGGGCAGAGGTTGCAGTGAGCTGAGACTGAGCCACTGCACTCCAGCCTAGGTGACAGAGCAAGACTCTCTGACTCACCAAAAAAAAAAAAAAAAAGTTTTCCAATACGTAAAAATGACATGTCTCTTCACTTATTTAGTTTTACAGTTTTTATAAAGTTTTATAGAGAAGTCTTACACATCTTTTGCTAGATTTTTCTCCTAGTTATTTAATGTTTTTGATGATATTGTGATATTTTTAAAATTTTATTTTCGAATTGTTTACTGCTGTTTTATATTGACATCATGCGTAAGATCCTTTCTAGATTCACTCATTAATTCTTAGCTTTTCTGCAGATTTGTTTGGATTTTCTACACACATAATCATGCCACCTGCAAATAACAAAAGATTTATGTTTATTTATTTTTAATTTTTATAACTTTTATTTCTTTTATTTGCCTTTTTCTCTGTCTAGGATTCCCAGAAAGTGTTGAATAGCAGTGATGAAAAGCAGGCTGTCTCATTCCTGATGTCAAAGAGAAAGCTTTCAGTATTTCACCAATATGTATGAAGCTGCTATAGGGTTTTGTTTTTTTGAGATGGAGTCTTGCTCTATCACCCAGGCTGGAGTGCAGTGGCGCAATCTCAGCTGACTGCAGCCCCCACCTCCCAAGTTCAAGTGATTCTCCTGCCTCAGCCTCCTGAGTAGCTGGGACCATAGGCATGCGCCACCACACCCAGCTAATTTTTTGTTTTCTGAAGACATATATTTTCAGATTAAAGAAGTTACCTCTATTCCTAAGTTTTCTTAATAATCATTGGATCTTGTCAAGTGTTTGTTCTGTATCTTCTAAGATAATCATATTTTTTCTTTATTCTTTCATGTTATAAGTTACCTTAATATTAAAGCAACTTTGGTGTAAAAGTAACTTGATTGAGATATATGTATATTGTTTTATAAATCAATAGATTTAATTTGCAAATGTTTTATTTAGAATTTTTGCATCTTAGTTCACAGAAAGATTGAGTATACTTTCTTACAATGTCTTTGTTACGTTTGGGTATGAAGGTTATGTTGGCCTTATAAAACACGTTAAGCAGAATTACTCTTTTTCTACTCTCTGGGATAATTTAAGAATGATGCTTTTTTAAATGAAGGTTTGAGCATCTAGGCTTAGCGATTTCCATTTGGGAAGATATTCAACTTATTTTAATGGTTATAAGACTACTCAGATTTTCCATATCTTGTTGTATTATTCTTGCTAAGCTTTTATTTTCTAGCACTTTGTCCATTTTATCTACCTCTTCAAAATTATTCACATAAAGTTCTTTGTAATATCCTCCTATTTTCTTACTAATTTTGTAGAATCTGCAGTGATGTCCCCTTTTTCATTTCTGATAGTAGTAATTTTGTGCCTTCACTCTTTTTCTTTCCCCAATCAGTCTTGCTAGAAGCTTATCAATTTGTTAATCTTTCCAAATAACCAAATTTGGCATTTTTTATTCTATTGTATGTTTGTTTTTTACTCCTTTAATTTCTGTTTTCATCTTCATTTTTTCCTTTTTTTTTTTTTTACATTCTCTGGGCCCAATTTTCTGTAGCATTTCTAATTTCTTTAAAATGACACTTTGATCATGACTTTTTCAGTGAAATAATATAAGCATTTTAAGGCTAAAAATTTTCCTTTCTGCATGGTTTTAGTTATATTCTACAATAAGTTGTGCTGTATCGTATTTTCATTATCATTCAGCTGAAAATATTTTCTAGTTTTCATTGTACTGTCCTCTTTGACCTTTGTGTAATTAGTAGTGTATTTCCAAACCTTTGGGCATTTTATTGTTATTGCTCTGTTGTTATTTAGCTTAACTGCACTGAGGCCTAAGAACATATCTGTACAATTTTTATCTTGTAAAATGTGTCAAGAAATGCTATATGGTTCTGCATATGTGCAATATTGATGATGTTCCATGCTCTGCAGTTGCTGGTTACAGTATTCTATCTGTGGATAACATTGATTTTGTTAGTTTCATTAATCATATTAATAAATCTTCTATATACTTAGAGTTTTGTGAGGTTCATCTTTTAGTTCTGTCAATTACTGATGGACTTGTTTTGGAGTTTCTCACTATAATTTTGGAGTTTCTCACTATGATTCCATTTCTCATTTAGTTCTAAAAAATTTGCTTTCTGTATTTGAAACCTAGGTTATTAGATGCACACAATTTTGTAATTGCTTTATTTTGGGGTTCTTTGACCATTTATCATTTTAAAATGTCTTTTTTTCATTTATAGTAATGTTTGTTTTTGGTCGATATCAGAATAACTCCTTTTGCTTAGGTTTTCTATGGTATTTCTTCTAACTTTTTTTGGGGGGGGTGGGGGATGGAATCTCGCTCTGTTGCCCAGGCTGGAGTGCAATGGTGTGATCTCGGCTCACTGCAACCTCCACCTCCTGGGTTCAAGCAATTCTCCTGCCTCAGCCTCCCAAATAGCTGGGATTACAGGCGTGTGCCACTATGCCTGGCTAATTTTTGTATTTTTAGTAGAGACGGGGTTTCACCATGCTGGCCAGGATGGTCTTGATCTCTTGACCTCGTGATCTGCCTGCCTCAGCCTCCCAAAGTGCTGGGATTACAGGCGTGAGCCACCACACCCAGCCTTCTTTTAACTTTCAATCCTCCTTTGTATTTACATTCAAGATGTATCTCTTCTAAGTATAATATAATTGGGCAGAATTCATTTTTAATATGGTTTGGTAACTTTTCTTTTTAAATTGGATATTTAGTCTATTAATATTGAATGTACTTACAGATAAATTTGGGCTTATATTTACCAACTTGTTTGTTTTCCTGTTTTACTTAACCGTTTCTTCAACTTGTTTTATGTTACTTTTTCTCTTCTTCTTGTCTTTAATGAATTACATATATTGTTGTTCCGTTTTCCCCTCTATTAGCTTGTTAATTATATATTATTTTACTATTCTTTTAGTTGTTACCCTCCTTGACAGCATGCATTCTTGATTTTTTTAGAGTAGAAACTAATTCTTTTATTACTCCCCAGACAATGTTATGTCCTTAGCATACTTTAACTCCATTTAACCCACCACCACCTTTTTAATTATTATTTTCATTGTACATACATTTTAAACCTTATGAGCCCTTTTTTTGTTTATATAGCAAACATTCATTTATATTTGTTCCATTTCCCTCTTCAATCACTCTTCATTTATTCCTATGCTTCTGTGTTTCTGTCTGGAATCATTTTGCTTTTACCTAAAGACCTTCCTCTGGTACTTTATTTTTAGTAAAGCCTGTTTGTGAACAATTCTCCCGGTTTTTGTCTGGAAATATCTTCATTCCACCTTCTCTTTGAAGGATACTTTTGCTGAGTAAAGAATTCTAGGTTGGCAGTTCCTTTCTTCCAGTTCTCCTGGAGATTCTGAAGGCTACCTAAAACTTTAGCTGATTTTAGGCAGAAAGGAATTTATTAAAATGTGTTTTGTTGTCTGCAACTAGGAACTTTGATGACTATAGGGTTGAAAATCACTAGTCAGGCGTCCCATTCAATAATAATTGATGAGTTAATAATAATAATTATGAATTGTAATTACACTTTTATCACATACAAATGTCTTATACATACTAAACTCTGCTTCTGGGTTTCGTATTACATTTTACTTATTATTCTTGCTATGGAAACAAGCTGTTATTTATTTTTAATTTATAATACATTAAATATCTAATAATATACTCTCACTTCACTGCTTTTCTTTTTCAAAATTTTGCTTATATATTCCCATCCATTTCTTCTTTCAGGTAATCTTAAGAATTATTCTACAAAGTTTCTATATAAATGTTATTAGGATTTTGATACAAAAGTAACATATTTATAAATTAATTTACACTCAATTTACAATATGTCTTTACTCCAGGAACATGTTGGCTTCTGAATTATAGAAGTTGCATGTCTCTGAGAAGACTTGTGTGTGTGTGTGTGTGTGTGTGTGTGTGTGTGTGTGTAGCCTGTATATTGCATCTTATTTTTTTTTATAAGTACAGAAGCTTTTGTAGATATAAATGAAGTAGTTTTCAAAATGTTTGCTAACTGGTTGTCATACAGGAAAGTCACCATGCAGAACTCTCTAGCTATAATCATTTTTCCGTAATCCTTTTGGCTTTTCAAGACACACAATTCTATAATCAGAAAATAAGGACAATTTTACCTTAATTTCCCAAGATTCGTGCTTCTTTTTAAACTAAACTAGTCACAACTTAAAGGAAAATGTTAAATAAATATTGTGAAATATGGTATAATCCTACAATGGAATATTATTCGGCCATAAAAATAATGAAGTACTGATAAATACTACAATCATGGATGAACCTTGCAAACATTAAGTGAAGGAAGCCAGTCACAAAAAAACAAATATTGTATGATTGCATTTATACTTAAGTCCAGAATAAAGAAATCTATGGAGACAGAAAATAGATTAATGGTTGCTTAAGGGTGAGGTAGAGGGAGGAATGTGGTGGGGAAGGGATATGGGATGGAAGGTACAAAGCTTCTTTTTGAGGTGATGTAACTGTCTAAAATTGATTGTGGTTGCACATTATCCATGAATGTATGGTATGTGAACTAGATATCAATACAGCTCAAAAAAATAAGAGTTGTCTACAGAATGAGAGGAAATTTTTGCAAACTATGCATCTGACAAAAGCCTACTATCCAGCATCTATAAGGACCTTAAACAAATTTACAAGAAAAAAACAACCCTATTAAAAAGTGGGCAAAGGACATGAGCAGACACTTTTCAAAAGAAGATACACATGTAGCCAACAAGCATATGAAAAAAAGCTCAACATCACTGATCATTAGAGAAATGCAAATCAAAACCACAATGAGATAGTATTTCACAACAGTCCAAATGGCTATTACTAAAAAGTCAAAAAATAACAGGTGCTGGCGAGGTTGCAGAGAAAAGGGAACATTTATACACTATTGGTGGGAGTGTAAATTAGTTCAACCATTGTGGAGATAGTGTAGCTACTCCTTAAAGACCTAAAAACAGAACTACCATTTGACCCAGCAATCCCATTACTGGGTATATACCCAAAGGAATATAAATCATTGTATCATAAAGACACATGCACTTGTACGTTCGTTGCAGCACTATTCACAATAGCAAAGACATAGAATCAACTTAAGTGCCCGTCAATGGTAGACTGGATAAAGAAAATGTGGTACATTTACTGGATAAAGAAAATGTGGCTGCAAGAATACTATGCAACCATAAAAAAGAATGAGATCATGTCCTTTACAAGAACATGGATGCAGCTGGAAGGCATTATCCTTAGCAAAATAATGCAGGAACAGAAAACCAAATACTGCATGTTCTCACTTATAAGAGCTAAATAATGAGAACACAGGGACATATAGATGGGGCCTCCTGGAGGGTGGAGAGTGGGAGGAGGGAGAGGATCACTAATGGGTACCAGGCTTAATACCTGAGTGATGAAATAATCTGTACAACAAACCCCCATGACATGAGTTTACCTATGTAACAAACCCGCACATGTACCCCTGAACTTAAAAAAATAAAAAAAAAGAGTTGTGATAACCCTTTCACTTGTCCCCGACTTTTAAAAAGCTAGAATTTCAGTTATGTACAGTTTTGGTTATAGGTTTTATGTAGCCAATCATTTTGCTCTAAGGCCTCATTCATGACATTTTGTGCTTTGATATTTAAGGAGACAGGGACACCGAAAACTGAATCTTCCAGCTACTCTTCTGGCTGGCTTCCAGTATGTTCTGCCAATGGAAGGCACTGGGAGAAGACTGGAAGACTGGAGGATGGAAGAAGCCATCCTCTTCCTATTTCTGGTTTCTGATGGTATATCTGATAGCGGCAGCAGCCTCAAGGACAGTCTAAACTTGATGCAGCGGCAACAGTAATACCAAAAGCAGCGATAGCCAACAGCAGCAGCAACAGTGGGATGGCAGCTGAAGTTCCTGGATTCTGTCCAGCAGCTGACTCTTAAAGCAGGAGCCTCTGCAGCATGATGCCCCTGACTGCTGGAAACCTGTGCCTAGAATACTAGTTGTTTACAGCAGTTACTGTTTTCAGTAAACTTGTCTTCCTCCAGTCCTAGTTCAGATCCCCCAAAAAGCAGAGCCTGATATAGGGACATTAGTACAGTAATCTACTTGAAAGGTAATCCCAGGAAACTGAAGTGAGGGAGTGGAGAGATGAAACAGAGACAGAGGAAAAGACAATAAAGGGTACATTGATGAGCTGATGACTACTGAGGGCAACTGGGGCTCCATTCCCCTTGGGGACCTTCAAAGGAATTGTGTACCATGCACACTGGAATGCCTCCTTATTGAGTTTTAACCCCAGTGGCTGATAGTTCTCTTTGGGGACACTAACTCATCCACACTCCTGGGCTGCTCCTGCACGCAGGCTGACCAAGCTCCCAGGGATTGGGGAAGTCTGAGGCAGAAGAAATGACAGACTGGCTGTGGTTAAGTCAGAACCCACTCTGGCCCCATGGGATGTGGGCAGGGCACTAAGGCATCTTTGTATGGAAGTTTTACATGTTGTTTTCTTTGAGCATCAGAGTGATTATAAAATGCATTGTGAAGCTTTGAAATATTTAAAATAGTATCTCCTTCATTGAAGTTTTAAGGAATTGGCTTGTAAAACTATGAATCCAGTGCTTTTCTGGAGGTAGATCTTTGATGACTTTTTACATTTCAAGATGGGCCTCCTTTTACTGCATTTAAATCAATTACAGAAACAGGATGTGATTAGTTGGAACCAGAATAATTGACCACATAACCAGAGGCTGTAAAAACTGCAGTTATTTTTGCATCAACCTAATAAAAAGAAATCACAAAGCAAAATTTTCAACTGGGGTTAGCTGCAGGCAGACATAGATCATAGACATAGATTTGGCTTTTAAATGTGCTCATCTCTATCAAGCAAAAGAATACGGAAAGAGTACCCAGAGATCCTGCCCACCAAAAAGGCCATAAAGAATACCAAATTTCTCAGTTTATAATATTCACTAAGGATAACTGAATTAGTCACGCTTGCTATTTCTGATATAGCACATCAGGGCATATAGCATATTCTCTATATGAATAAATAGAGAAATATACCTGAGGAAAGAGACAGCAAAGGTAGAGGGATCCCTGGGGCACAAACAGAAGATACTTACAGTTAGAGAAAGTTCATTTTTTTTTTCTCATTTAAAAAAACAACTTATTTAAGATTTTGCATGAGATGTTTTGACTTTCCCTTCAGCGCAGAACCATTTTTCCCTCAAATGATTTACCTAACAGACATGAAGAACTGCTATCAAGCCTTTACCCACGCAGTTATAACCGTGAGAAAATTATTTTACATCAGCTGCTGACAACTAGTCCCCCTCTCAGGGGCACATAATGAGAGAACTGTCAGGCAGATGAGTGTCCAGCGCGGAAATATTTAATTAATGAGCTCTTGTCTTGCCTCTAGGTAATTCTTCACAGTCCTAAGGATAGAGAGCGAGCACCCTCTGATCAATCCAGGGAATTAAAAAAACACACACAGTCACTGCTGAAAGAATTTCAGTTTTCATTTTTTAAAAAAATCCAAGTTACCTATAAAATTTCACGGACTTATTTTTTTTAACATGCTTAAATTTTTAAAGGAGGAGACTGCCATATGACCTAGACTTAGCATTTCATATTTTAGATCTTAGGTCTTTAAAAAATATATATAAGAGAAAGCTACTATGAATTCATTCCTTTTATTCATACTTTTAATAACTGTAATTTGGTCATTTAAACAGCACTTCCATAGATTAGAAAACAGTAGCACAATACGTGCGAGGTATTTATTCAGTGCATTCACAGGGTCTGTTGTGTGTTCTAGAGCCACAGATCCCTGTAATCTATTTCCACGGTCCCCAATTTTGGAACCACCCCATACTTCAGACTGGAACAATGCCAGGCTGCTCTGGAATCCTGCTTTGTTGTATCAAGGCCTTTTGACTCTTTCTTGGAGAATCTTAGCCTCTGAGCTTGCAGCACGTTCCCTTTAAGAATAACGTGTAGCATCTTATTCCTAGAAAGAGCCTCTTCCCTCTGATAGACTCTACTAATGCTGTTCTACAACAAAAGAGTGGGGCTTCAGGGCGGGCCGGGGAAGCAGAAACTGAGACGGTGAGGTGGGGGTGCAGAGTGGAATTCAGGGAGGTGTCAGACTAAAAGCCGGATCTCTGGGCTTCTAATGCAATGCTCCCACCTTTAAACTAAGTAAGCAAAGAAAGCATTAAAAGAGTGACTGGGCCTAAGCGTCTCCAGGATTTTTCCATCACCATTATTCCCCTTGTCCACCAATCCACAAGCACAAAAATTTATTCCACTCCTGGTGAGATTAATAGAGTATTTTATTTTTTTATTTGCGCAAATTTGTGGGGTAGATCAGACATCTTGTTACACATAATGGGTAGTGAGTGACTCAGGGTATTTAGGGTGTCCGTCACCTGAGTACTATACATGTTTGTTAAGTATAATCATCCTACTCTGCTATCAAACATTGAATTTATTCCTTCTCTCTTACTGTATGTTTGTGCCTTTTAGCCCACTTCTCTTCATAACAGCATATTTTAAAGATAGAATACACCATAGTTGTAACTCCTGGAAACTGACTCTGGCTTCTTCTGGTATATTTTTAGCATGTTTAAGTAAAACCAAATTGTAATATCACTCTCGACTTCATCTAATATTCTAGAATTCCTAAAGATTAAAGGTATCCATTTTTGTAATATTAATCAGTTATCTACTTAATACATTTAGAATAATATAAGATAGTCCTATTTAAGTAAAGGCTAGGGATATTAAAATTAATTTTATAGGAGAACATTCTGAAGATTATTCTAAAAAAATGAAGATGATCACCTGACATCACAATGAATTAACCCTGTGTAAAAATATTGGGGGAAAATGGAAGTTTATAACTTATTTTAAAAAAAGGTAAGAGAACATTGTATCTTTTAAAGCATTAATGAAAGCCTCCTTAGCAAAATTATATGCCTAAAGAATGCAGGCATATAACTCACAACACAAAAATACTGTAGATCCTGTACCTACTACAAATGGCATCCAGGTGACCAAGGCTGGCGTTCCCAGAATGTCACTGTGGCTGGTGTCTGTTTTGACTGGTCAGCATCCATGCCATGCTAATTATTAAATATTTTAATATTATTCTTGCAAGTCTCCCTAAAATAACCTCAGTATCTGTTCTGTTCCCAATGGTCTTTAGCAAGAGTTGCAAAGCGCCCTCCTGTTACAGTAAAGAATTCTCCTTTATATCAAATCTAAATTACTTCCGTATTAGGCAGAACCCTTTTAATTGCAAGTAACAGAAACTATACAAATTAGCTTAAGCATAAAGGGACTTTATTGGCTTGTGTTCCTGGATAGAGCTGGCCTCCAGAACTCAAAGCACATCATCCAGTCATCCTTGTTCTCTCTCCCCCTTCTCCTTTCCTCTTTCTGCAGCTCTCAGTGAATTGGCTTCCTTGCCTCCTCCTGAAGCCAGGCTTCTCCTAGGTATATGAGTTGGGAGCAGGAGAACCAAATTCCAGATAAGAATCATATCTAGTCAAATCTGGATCACATGACAACCACTCCTATGCAGAAGGTAGAAGGAATGTGATGTGGAAGGTACTGTCTCTGGCAACCCCACACCCAAGCAGGATGAGGAAGGTAAGGAGTCCTGCCACTCCCAGCAGGCCGCACACCAGCAGCATTAGTAGCTGGTTAGAAATGCAGAATCTGGAGCTGCATCCCAGACCCACCAAATCAGAATCCAGAGTTCAACAAGATCCCCAGCGGATTCCATGCACCTTATAAATGGAGAAGGTTTTTCTCCTAGGAAACATGCCGTGAAGGACGACATCATCACAGAAAGGGGAAGGAGAAAAACAACAGATGTTCACTCACACACAACTGTGATATCACACAACTTCCTTTTGCTTAGTCTTCAGTAAAAATGATGAACTAATTATTGTTCTAAGTATCACAAACATCACTACCCATTTTAAAAAACAGGCCAGGTGCAGTGGTTCACCCCTGTAATCCCAGCACTTTGGGAGGCTGAGGCAGGCAGAAAACTTGAGGCCAGGAGTTTGAGACCAGCCTGGCCAACATGATGAAAACCCATCTCTACTAAAAATACAAAAATTAGCCGGGTATGGTGACACACGCCTATAGTCTCAGCTACTCAGAGGTTGAGACATGAGAATCACTTGAATCTGGGAGGCAGATGTTGCAGTGAGCTGAGATCATGCCACTGCACTCCAGCCTGGGAGACAGAGTGAGACTCTGTCTCAAAAACAAACAAACAAAACATCTGTAGGTCTCCCTACAGTTTCCTGTTCTTTATAATTCCTATTCTCCTTTATCAAGGCCAGTAGCTAACTTAGCTATTTTTAGTCTCACTTTTTATTTTAGAAATTATTTGCTATATAATGGCCAGGCACAGTGGCTCACACCTGTAATCCCAGCACTTTGGGAGGCCAAGGCAGGTGGATCACTTGAGGCCAGGAGTTCAAGACCAGCCTGGCCAACATAGCGAAACCCCGTCTCTACTAAAAATACAAAAATTAGCCAGGCATGGTGGCATGCACCTGTGGTCCCAGCTACTCAGGAGGCTGAGGCATGAGAATCGCTTGAACCCAGGAGGTGGAGGCTGAAGTGAGCCAAGATCGTGCCACTGCACTCTAGCCTAGGTGATGGAGTGAGACGCTGTCTCAAAAAATAAAAAGAGAGAGAGAGAGGGAAAGAAAGAAATTATTTGCTATATAAGGATTGTTGTTAGGAGGAAATCAACACTATAACTGTTTGTTTCTGTCTTTGACTCTGGTTAAATTACTGTACGTCCCGCCAGCATACCTGATTTCTATTGATAGGGGTAGCACAGCCTCGTAGTTATGAGCATGGATCAGAAGCTAGGGGCTGGTTTAAATCTTGATCTGCCACTTACTAGCTATGTTTCTTACCTCTCTGAACCTTGGTTTCCTCATCTGTAAAAGGGGCTCATCATAGTTGTGAGGAGAATTAAGTGAACTAATATTTGTGCCTGGTATGCAGTAACCACTATGTATGTTTTTGAAATAAATAAATGTTGTTGGAGTGAAACCCCCCAACACATCTCTAATGCCGCCTTGTGACTAGTGGATTAAGTGAGCACTTTGAAAATATGTATTACTTGAGTGATTAAATTGCCAAGCTTCCCCATTTCATTTACATCTTATTTCCATTTCTAGTGAATCATTCCTTCTAAGCACAAGGTTGTGAAAGGAAATCTTGAACACTAATAATAGCATTACAAGCTACTATAACCAGGGCTTACTTACATGATTATCACCAAAGCTCCAATAAATTTCTCAATTTAAATATTAAAAATCAGTCAATGATCTGTTAGCTGGAAAATATCTGGGGTGAAAGAGTGATTACCACTAAAAAATAGATTGAAGTCATTGCTGCTTTTAGAGCCTAGAAAAATACAAAGATCTGTTATTCTAGGTAAGTTACTTACTCTCTCTGCCTCCTTTATGGGCTGCTGGAAGGATTAAATGATTAGTGTGTGAGAAATGCTTAGAACAATGCCTGGCTCAAAGTAAGTAATCAATAAATGCCAGTTCTTATTATCACAGGTATTCTGAATACAGGTTGTGGCGATCAGGAGCTTTGATGACCATGGCAGGTGGCAATGCCCCAAAGTGCAGAAGACGTCAATTCCTCTTCCATATCCCCAGTCAACACACACATTCCCCTCCACAACCAAGAGAAGTGGGCATTAAAGAAAGGAAGGGCAAGAGGAACGACAATTCTAAAAGATCACCAAGGTGTATAGTCTGAATTATTTGGACTAGTTCTGCTGTGATCTTAGCCAATTGACCCTCTGCCCTAATTTCCCCACCTGAAAAAAAAGAAGGCCAATTTATTAAGGGTTTCTGATGCGTGGGTGAAAGAGGCTGTTAACACTCGAAAGTATTATAGATTAACAATCTTTCTAACCATTTTAAATATTAGCAAATGTTCCAGCTCACAAAGTGCCATGGTTTTAGTGGCCTGGAAAACGCTGCAATTTGTTCAAACATCAGTGGGTGTTATTTCTGGATGTTAATCAGTACCATTTACCTTGAGAACCTGGAAAATGTGTGGACTGTGCAAGTCCGCCATCTGCTGGTCCTGGAGACTCTGCGCCGCAGGGCAGAGATGCTTGTCCAATGCGGCCGGCACAGGAGCTCCTTGGAGAGCAGCAAACCAGCCAAAGCTGTTCCCACCACCTCAGGTCCTGATGCTGAATTATCACAGTGAACATGTTGCTTTCCCAAAGGGAGGTGATTTGTTTGAGAGGGTATGTGTGTGGTCTTTAAATAGTTTTGTTCTTTGTGCTTACATTATCATCTAGGAAGAAAAGATAATTTATTGCATCTCAGAAATGAAGCGACTCTGAGATAGCATCTATTTCAAATGCCTCATTTTACACAAAAGAAAAAATGTGGCCCAAGAGTCAGACAACTTTCCCAAGTTACTCAGCCAGTAGTGGCAGGACAGTATCCCCAAGGCTCATGCCTGGACACTTACTCTCGCTACCTTGGAGAAGGTGAAGGAGGGCAGAGGAATCTGCCAAAACAAAGAAAACTTCCCAGCCAGTGTCCTGGGTCACTGTATACGTCTTACTGACATGGCACTTTAGCCATAGTTTGCAAAGAGCTTTAACTTCTCTTCTTATATCCATATAAAAACTTTCACCTCTGATTGTAGCCAAAAGCCAAAGCCCTTTTATGCCCTATTGCACTTATGAAAGGGGAAAAATGCAAGTAAGGATACTTTATCTTGTGATTATTTTCACTTCCTGAAAAGCCAAAGATCTAGCAGTTTAATCACAAAGTCTGTCCTGTCATTCAGCAGCAGATGCCAGCCTCTTGCCCGGCAGCCACCAGAATAGAAGAACCCTACAGGTCAGAAAGTCTACACTCTTATTTCTCCACCAGAGAGAGGTCTCTCTTAGTTTATACAGGCCAACTATTTTTTTTTAATTGGTCTTAGTCCAATAATGACATATTTGCCTGGGTCACCTGCCAGCCAACCAGGAGCGCTCATTCAGCTGGGGTGTGGATACAGAGAAATTCTAGTGCCATCCAACAGAGGGCAGTAGTGCACAGACACATAACCACCCTGCTCAGCTCTCTCCTATCAGAAAAAAGGGGGTGGGGGACACAGGTGCATATTCTTACTGCTCTGACTCTGTCCTGAGAGTGGAGCCAAACATTTTTCAGATGCCAAAATCAATCTTAAAAGTCAATGATCTGACAAGGACAAATATTAATCGCTAATTCCTGTTTCCCCCCACTTCATGACGCTCAGCTTCATACTCTGCCCCTGAGCCTCCCAAACCAAAGTTCTTTTATCACGTGACAGAGACACAAGCCTTGGATCCATCTGAAAACAAAGCTGACAAGTTTCTCACCACCTAGCAACACAAAAAACTCTAAACACAATCCAAAGAATCCCCAAGGGAAACAGCTTCAAGAATCTTGAAAATCATACCTATTTTTGTTTGTAATGTGTGAAATTATTACAAGTATGTTCACCAAGAGGACTATTGATGGATGACTCACAATTTAGCTAAATTCAATGAACCACACACTGTGCCTATCCCAGTAGGTGACTCATGCATTTTTTATTTCAAGTATCAAGTGTTTGCCAAAAACAGTATTTAAAAAAAGTAATGAAAATTGTTCTGAAAGAGCTCATGAATAGGGTAGGACTACCCACCGACAACCTCATTTGTGCTCTGACCACTTACATGGGATTTGGTGGGTCTGCTACAGCAGCGCTCGACAGAGAGTGCGCTCCCCACAGCAACGGTGGCAGGCGGAGGGCAGGCTCTGCAACTCACCACACGTGGTTATCTCCCTCAAACCCACATCTCAGCAAGGATTCTAAAGCCCAATGATGTGTATGTGTTGCGGGGGGGGGGCAGGTACATACAGGTTTTGCTAAAACATATTAAAAATAAATGCATACATCCATTCAATTCCTGTTTGTCTTCTATTGAGCTTATCATTTCTCCCCCTACCTTTTTTAATTTAAGAAATCTAATTATCAGAGAAAAATGGAGGGAATGAAAGGTCACTGAGCAGAAATAATGAAAATGATTGCTGGTGAGGAACAGTTAAGGGGTGTAGACTTTATTCTGACCATTAGTGTTTTCGTGTGCACCTGCTACTAGGCTATTCACAAAACCCTCAGTAAGAGTCCCCCTTTCTCAGCCTGCTTCTCTGACCAGCCAAAGGAAAAGTTTTTAGGTCCCACTGACTTGCAAAAAAACCCTCAAGTTCACTGACCACCTAATAATATCCTTGTAAATCTCAGAAAGACATTACTGATTTGGATGTTTTAATAAATATTTGCAGCTTTGTGGTATTTCAAGGGGAAAGGATTTTAACACTTACAAATGCCTTTTCAAAGGATGTGAGGATGAGACAGAGTTCCCAGTGATGTTAGTATTTATTCCTAAAGCTTACTCTTCTTTTAAATCACAAACAATGACCATTTTTCAGGTTGTGTATTGACTTTTTCGTTTGCTGATCATTGCAGGCAAATTATGATGAAGTGTACGCTTTCCTCTTAAGGTCCCAGGAGACTTTCCTCCCCCCACACATTGTGGACATTGCTTCTTTTATAAGCAGGTTCTAAAAAATAAGTGCAGGAGGAACTCAGTTGGCTGACTCAATGCTTTGCATTATATGGTCACTCCTTATAGGTTTCTGATCTCTTGTTGCTTAGCAACATCTACACAGATATAATTTCCATCCGGTAGTGAAATCAAGTACTTTTGGCCTCTGTCAACATCAAGATTAGCTGATCTCTAGAGACCCCACACAGCCAAGGACACTTGTTGCTATTTTAAGAGAGAAGAGGCTCTCTTCTTCTTGCATGCCTCTTCTCTTTTTTGTTTATCAATTGCTGCGTAACAGAGTGCCCTAAAAAAACTCCTTATACAGTCTGTAGTTTGCCAAGGCTCGGCTGGATGGCTATGACATTTGATCCTTCATGAAACTGCAGTAAGATGGCAGCAGGAGCTAGAGTCTTCTCAAAGCCAGACTAGGCTGGACATCCAAGATGGCTTCTTCCCTCAAGTGACTGGTGCCTGAGCTGGGATGGCTGGAGCAGCTGGAGACTGGGCAGACATCTCCCTTGCCACATGGCTAGGTTGGGCTTCACAGCATTGGCTTGCAGGAGGCAGGGTGTGTGAAAGAGGCAGTGGGAGTGATCCACTCATGGGAAGGGATATGTTATCGCTGAGCCTTGTTTAGAATTGCTTGTGCATGCTGATAAGAAAAGGAAGACCAACTTTTAGTTGGTTTTAGTAAACTTTTTAAATTCTTTATAGACAATGCATCCCTTTAATCTCTGTACTTTTAAGTGGACCATTCCCACTGCCCCCAGCCTTGGTACACCACTTCCTCACAGCATGGCTGTTTCCAGAGAGTTGGACTTTTTGCCTCATGACTAGCCTCCCCCAGAGCCTTCCAGGAAGAAAGGCAAAATCTGTGAGCCTTCTTATGACCTAGCCTCAGAAGCCACAGAGCATTGCATCCCCTGCACTCTGTGGGGGCAAAAGCAAGTTGGAGGACCATCCTGGATTCATGGGGAGAAGACCAAACAAGTGTGAGTGCTGGAAAGGAGACTTCCCTGTGGGCCAGCTTTGGAGATGAGTGACCACATTCTCCATTACCATTTGCTCCACGTGGTTCAGAACCACATGATTATTTAACCAAAGCTCGGGTTGACTACACTTCAACTAACTGGAACCTACTGTAACGGTAAGTGACTTTTCTGAAAGAGATTTTGAATTCAGAATTTCATTGAGCCTTAGGATCCTCTGATGAATTTTCTTTAACTATTTCTTGCTGAAATAACAGAACTTCTAGTACATAGGGCTAGACTATTGCCACGACTTCTGAGTCAATCAATGTAACTCATCTTAGCCTCAGGCCAAAATTTTTGCAAATGGCTATATTCGTACTCAATTCCATTTCTCACATGTACTCATCTGACCAATGGGAAACTTTCCAGAGCCAGCTCTGGAGTCATAACTCAAAACTTTTCACAGAGATCCTAGGCCAGGTGTGAATAGAATCTTCAGGTTTCCTGAACCCACAAACCATAGCCAACCTGGATGTCAAGACCCTATAGGCTTAACTATTTCTTAAAATAGCAATAGCAAGCCCTTCTTATGTGCCAGACACTGTTCTCTGCTTTACCAATAGTAACTCATCTAAAACTCATAACAACACTATGGGTAGTAACCCTTATTATTATTATTTACAGATGAGGAAACTAAGACCCAAAGAGGTTAAGGAATGTGTCTCAGATTCCAAAGATAGCAAGTAGAAGAAATGTTATAGTCAGATTCCAGAAACCAAGCTCTTAATCATCATGCTATTATACTTCATAAGTTGTACAGTCAGTATTGCTGGCAATAAAGGACATTCATATAATTATGTACCATATCCTTGAAAAAAGTTCTTTCAGTCAACAATTAAATCAGCCAAATGTCTTAGACATTGTTTTAGTCCATTCAGGCTGCTATCACAAAATACTATAAAAGGGCTGGCTTATAACAACAGGAATTTCTCACAGTTCTGGAGGTTAGGATGTCCAAGGTCAAGGGACTGGTAGATTCAGTGTCTGCTGAGGGTCTGCTTCCTGGTTCATAGATAGCACATTCTCACCACATCCTCACGTGGTGGAAGGGATGAATGAGCTCCCTTGGGCCTATTGTATAAGATCGTTAATCCCATTCACAAGGGTTCTACCCTCATGACCCAATCACCTCCCGAAAGGCCCCACCTCCTAATATTATCACCTTGAGGGACAGAATTTCCAGATATAAATTTGTAGGGGAGGAGACACAAACATTCAGACCATAGCAGATGTACTAAGGGATACTAATGATATGACTTGATCCCCCAACACAAACAGATCAGTATGTTCTGAGAGAGGCAAGACTGACACCCAAACAGTAAATGAACAGTATCAGATGCCACCATATGGAAATAAGACCTGAACTGTGTGGTGATTTAGACTGCAATATTCAGCTGAAGTCAGAAAAGGTATTGTGACACTGGACACAGCACTTTTCCATTCAGCCAAATCACAAAACTCATATTTTCTTTTCACACATGCGATGTCATTCATGCCTTATGGTCTCCGTATAACGACATGATTAATACAGACAGAGTGGTCCACAGAAAAATCAGATCCATGGCATTACACAGCAGCCTGCCTTCAATAGACTTCCCTCACGAAGAGGCTATCACTCTGTACTGTTAGGAGGCCATGAAGCAATAACAAAGTTGAATATGTTTTTTAGATGTTTTCACAGGGGTCGTGACTTACTGTCCCAGAGAGCAGGTTTCTTGCAGAGGAAAAGCTGAGCCCTCAGTTGATTCCTTTACTGAGGTAGAAGTGTGGATTGGCTCAGGGAATAAAGCACCCTAAGGGCTATCAGATTCCAAGCTCCAAATCTGGCTCTTACCTTAGGCTAGTCACTTAACCTGCAGACAGAGCAAAAAACTAAGGGTAAAGAACTCACAGGTAAATAACAACATTCAAAACATATTATTCTATGGTACAAAAATACTAAACAGACACTGCATTTGGGTGAAAGCTATCTTTCAAGAGAACAGACCTACTCAAATGTATCTACTTAAAGGAATATTCCGGGTTCAGAATTGAGTGTGTTTTAAATTAGGACACATATTTTTACTAATGAAGCACGAACTGAAAAAAACAGCATTGGGAAGAGAAAAATCAGATGTGTAGCATGCACGAAGACTGCTTTGCTGCCTCTGTGGGGGAAATAAAGTTATGAGCATCATGATAAAATTAAGTTAATTCATTCCTATCACATCTAATAGGACTACTTAAAGATAAATCATAAAGTGTCAAAAAAAGTGTCAGCAAATAATGATTCTTACTTCAATGGTAAATAAATACCTGTCACAATGATATTAAATTGCTTAAGACTAGACTCTGAGAGCATGATAAATTGTTACAGATCTTAAACTTTGAGCAAGAGCATATTTCAAAGAAATACCTTCTTTTAGGAGGAGATATAAAAGAATCAGTTATATTAACTGAGACTTCCTTAAAAATGAATTTAGCAAATGCTGTTTATTGTTCTCTGAATATCTGATTAGCATGGACAGTTAATAGTCAAAATTCAAAATTCATCAACAGTTTTTTATGACAACAGCTATCTTAACAGCAGATCTTCTAATATTATATCTTTGATGGCTTTTATGAAAATCCCCAGTTACTGAAAAAGATATACTATTTTTCATGCGATTAATTTAACAAAAGTCTGTCTCAACATTTTTGAAACATTAAAAGCTTTCTCACAAAGAAATCAGGATAAAGCTGTTGCAAAAACGATAAAAATATCTATAAGATCACTTAACCTATTAAACAACTACGTAATTGCATAATTTCTTAGTATAATAAACATAATTATATGTTCTTGATGCCATTAATTGTGTCAGCCCCATTAATTAACACTAAATACTATAGGGAAAACAATCTATTTATATTAAAATTTATAAAAGAACAAAAATCTTATTTTAAATCCCCAATAAACACCACACATCCTCAGTCACAGAATTCCAATGGTCTTAATTGACCTAGTTTTAGTTAAAAGTAAAAACTACACTTAGGTTCAACCACAGAAAAGAAGAGGCCGCTTTTCTAGATTAATTATTATGCTTCAGTTATCTGGGAGCTGTTAGTTCAGCTCTCATAATTCTAGGAAAGAGTCCTAACACCGTGTCACAGAAACCTTAAATTATATTCTAGTCCACGCTTAGAACTGTCTTACTGTCCCTTCCATACTTTTAAAAGCTGCATTCAACACTTGTCTGTGTGGTCTTTTGCTAAGGATCCAGGAGGCCCACAGGTCTGAACAAACACATTGTGGTCTTCCAACTGGTACCTGGTTTCTGCTCCTGGATTTACCAAGTGACTCCTCCTGTGACTCTGGAAGCCTTGAAAAACTTGGCATCATTCCTTCCTCTGTAGATTAACAATAACTTTACCCATCTTCTTTCCCACAACTATGGAAAGGCTCTGAAAAAAAACAGAAATCATAACTTTGTACCTAATTTGTGATTCCTCGTGGAAGGAGGTAAAGTTCTCTGGGAAAATTAGAGATTGCACGGTCTTTCAAATACTAATAATCATAATCTCAACAATCTCTTTGCTATATTAAAAAACTTACAGGAATTTAGAATGCCTCAAACTGGAAACAAATGTCCATCAACAGGAATGTAGATTCATACAATGGAATATTCAAGCATAAAAAGTATGAACTACTAATACATAAAACAACATGGACAAATCTCAAAAACATCATGTTGAATGAAAGAAGCCAGACTCATAACAGTACTCATTATATAATTCCATTCCTACGAAAGCCAAATACAGGTAAACAAATCTATGGAGCTAGAAATGAGATCATGGTTGCAGAAGTAGGGTAATTTTCTAGAAAATTGCACAAGGAAAATGGTGGAGGGTGGAAATGTTGCATATCTTTTTAAGGGGTGATGTTACACAGGTATCAAAACTCATCATGTGAGCACTTAAAATCTGTGCATTTTATTGTATGTTACTTATATATATGTTAATAAAAGAATCTTAGCAAAATGTCTCCTACAGGAGTTACAATTTGCTAAGGACTCTTCCTCAGACCATAAGAATTTAGTTAGAACTAATAATAGTATTAGTCTCTGGGGGAAAGAAATGGGGACCAGGATTAGAGGTATTGGTCAAAGGGGGCTCTAGCTTTATCTGTAATATTTTTCATCAGTTTAGCAGCTTGCTCTTTTCCCTTTTATCTAGGAGATGAATTTATATTGGTATATGGAGCTGCTGCATTATTTTTTAAGGTCATGTAGTTGTATCAGCCAGAGTTTATCAGGGAGGCAAAACCACTTAAAGTTATGGGCTGAGAGAGATAGTATACAAATTAGACCTTGTACAAGTGTTGGGGGAGCTGGGGAAGTAAAGATCTGGGAGGGAAGAGTTTGACATTTCTGAAGAGTTGCTAGTCAATATGAGAAGCCCCTACAGTACTTCAGGCCACAAAGCGGATCAACAAAGGGGAAGCTGGGGGGAATCTATGGGAGGCTGTTTCCTCTGTGGGTCTCTAGCAAGGTGCCAGTCAGGAGGAGAAGTTGAACATGGGGCAAAGAAGAGTGAGGGCTTGCCAGCAACCACCAGCCTCTCTGAGTCTGTCTCCCATCCAATCTCCATGCCTTTAAGAGAGAAACAGGTACTGTTCACTTCCACCTTTCAAATGTCCCACTAATTCCTCTTTTGGCCAATTATCACTTAGAATCCTACAGGAAAGGGGTTCTGGGAAATGTACTTCTAAGTTTACCCAGTTAACCTGGTACTGGTACAAATGACCATGATACGGCTTTACCGTATCTTTGTATTTTTTGTACGGCTTTACCGTAATTTAATCAGTCACCTATTGATGAGCACTTGGGTTGTTACTGAGCTTTTGCTATCATAAATGGTGTTGCAATGAATATCCCTGTCAATTCCCTCCCTCCACACATGCAGGAAGGCATCTGTAGAATACAATAATACAATCCAGGTGAGGATTGGTCCAACTTGATCCAAATGTCCATACCGAGTCCCCCAAAATTGGACCCAGCCTTGTGGGTGCTCACTGTAAGAGTCAGAGAGCAGGTACTGTGGTTTGCTCTGAAGGTATTATGTAGGCACTATGACTTACATAGTATATACTATGACTACTAGGTAATTTGGGCTCCCCCAAAATTATACCATTCAAGTGATGGAAAACAGTTCCCAAAAGCAAAATAAACAGTTTTTATAGATTGGGGTTTTTCAGCCTCGGTGCTATTGACATTTAGAGCTGAATAATTCTTTGTTATCACAACAAAAATAGCTTCTGAAAGGCAAACTCATACGTACACCACCACCCACCAATTGAGAAGCACTGGAAAAACAACAGATTTTAAAATTGAGAAGTAGAGCTAAGTCATTTTGCATAAAAAAGGAAGAAAGGACTGGGGTTTGGGGGTGATAACCTAGGTAAAAAGGGGACTGAGCATGGTGGCTCCCCTCCTGTAATCCCAGCACTTTGGGAGGCCAAGGAGGGCGGATCACTTGAGGCCAAGAGTTTGAGGCTGGCCTGGCCAACATGGCAAAACCCCTCTACTAAAAATACAAAAATAAGCCGAGAGTAGTGGCGGACACCTGTAATTCCAGCTACTTGGGAGGCTGAGGCAGTAGAATCACTTGAACCCGGGAGGCGGAGGTTGCAGTGAGCTGAGATCGCACCACTGGACTCCAGCCTGGGCAACAGAGGGAGACTCTGTCTCAAAAAAAGTGGAGGGGTGGGGGTTAAGAATATTAAACAAGGAAAAAAGTAATTGAGAGGAGTCAGAGACAAAGCAGCTCACAAGATAGGAGAGTAATATTGGGAGTTGGAATGTGTCCAAAGAGGAACTATTTTTAAATTTTTGACATTTTAATTTTCCCTCAGGGTCTAAGAACAATCATTTCAAACACTGTGTTAATTTTTTTCCTAATTGTAATTATCTTCCTTATCCTCAGATCTTCAGGAAAAGTTCTCTACATATAACCAATTTATCTATGTTAGTGGTACATTGAGGAGGTGTCCAGAGACAAAGAGACAAGACAGCAAATGAATGGACAAGATGCTGTGAGGGAGTAGGATTCAGAAGAATGTCCCAGAGCACAACACAGCCTGGAATTCACAGAAATACTGGGGAAAAGGCACAGTGGACTTCCCACTTTCCGTGGATGGGGTCTCGACCCATTTTAAGAGGCTATTAAAGGAAAAATTGACTGCAGGAGGCAGGTCAACTTGGAAACATGGGATATATTTTTTTAAATTTTAGGCATGGAGATATGGAAGGATGCATAGAGGCCTGGTATATAACTAAGAGCAGGGACTCTGGAGTCCGAGGGTCTGTGTTGGAATCCCAACTTTGCCACTTATAACCATGTACTTTTGCGCAAGTTATTAAAGCCTCTGAGACTCCATTTCCTTCTCTGTAAATAGGGAAATAATAATACCTCATAGGGTTGTCAAGAGGAGTAAATGAAGCACAATTGTAAAGTGGATGGACAGGAGCTTAGTGTATACAAATTGCTGTACAATAGCTTGTTAAATAATATAAATAAATATGCATCAAAATGTTAAGTGTTTTTTGATGAATATAATTATGGGAGTTTTGAATTGTTTAAATTTAATATTCACCTCTGAAGTGTTTAAATTTCCTACAAAGAGAATGTGTTACTTATAAAATCAGGAAAAAATAATAAAAAGATTTCCATTTAGGAAAAAATGCAAAGTATCCATAAGAATCTTCATGATAAGCATCAGAAGCAAATTCTTTTCTACAACAAATGATAACAATCCACTGATTATAAAGTTTTCTGTTAAAATATAACCCCTATGTTTTAAAGAAGTTCAAATCTGGACATGTGTCCAGCTCAAGATTCAGCTTTTCTATCATCAGAAGACAAGTAAGACTAATGAACACATTTGTTCAGGCTCTGGTTCAATGATAAGAGTCTATTACCTTCATAGGATTCATTAGTGTCTGCCTGTAAGAGAGAATATGCTTGAATCATACAAATCTTGCATTTCTTAAGTAGGGACCAGGTTCATTCATTATGGGTGAATAATTAAAACTGCTGTAGCTGTGTCTTTACGAAGAGTATCATACATCTATTATAGATCTACAATAGAATTACCAATAAATAGGACTCTGCCCTCTTATTTACACTTGGAAACAATAGCAATGTGCATACTGCATGCAAAATGCTCACATTTGAGGAACTTTAAAAATCACAATGTAACTCAGCTACATCTCTTTTATTTTTATACAGGTTAAACTTGGTTTAACATCAGATCTATAAATATGTGTTACACTTTCATGCTGTGTAAGAACCGTATTCAGAGATTCCCAGGATTTAAAGGCATGCATGCTATTGTTCTTGCCTCCTGGGTGGCTTGCAGTCTACTTGTGAGGACCACACATGTTCCTTGGCTGGTGAGGGCAGACAGGAGGGAGGAGTAGGAAGGGGACTTGTATTAGGAGACACTCAAATCTTCTCCTGCACCTACTGCAAATACCATCTGTCAGCCTGTCCTTTCCCTCTTCTGTAACTCAGGCTAATCGATTACAAAAGCAGTAATAGACCCACCACATAGACAACTGTGGGGCCCAGGAAACACAGGCAGTTTTGTTTTCTAAGGAGTAGACAGTGCAAGACCCCTGCAGCTTATATGATAGGACTATAGAACACCTAGCATAGAATTCCCAACCTGCTGTAAGCAGTAGAGGGGCAAGGAGAATTAAAGCAAGGATAGGGTGCTACTCCAAACTATCTTATGGACCAACACATTGGGAGTCCTTGCCCAGCCACTGGCCTCCATCTTTTAGCAAATGTATTCCTCCCTCATGTTCAATTAATTTCCCCCTTCCCAACTCCAACCATGTGGTTACAGGAAAATGTGGCATGTTCTTACCTGATCGTGCCCTCCTAGACACAGCTGGCATCCAAGGCTGAGCAGCCACCTGACCCGGCCACCCAGAGTTCTCCCCTAGCCTTTTAAAAAAATTAATCTGGGAGAGTCAGTCTGTCTCTCTGATAGAAGAAGTTGTAAAAGAACTCCCATGCAAGGTGTCAACAGCCCCATTAACTGCCAAGTGGAGAAAGCTGGTCTGCAGTGGGAGAAAATAGAGCCGGCACCAAGAGAAGTAAAAACCAAAAAGAGAGACAAAGTCCTGACAAGCTGGTTCCTGGTTTGAGGGTTCCTGAGGCCCCACTGCATTCCTTCCTGCCCGGCTGGTGACTTGGTCATCCTACTCTTCTTTCAGTCATGTCGGCTACCCCAAGATCCTTCCATTAAATATCCCTTTTGCCTAAACGAGTTAAATATGGACTTCTGACACTTATCTAAAGTCTAGTGACTCAAATTAGTTTTTCTCAACCAAAATAAACTATGGAATAACCCTTAAATATGGCTTGGGTACAGACAGCATATTTCTTTACAAAACAAATTCAGAGGTATGTTGATATTCTATTAGATTGATTGTTGTAATGGATTTCTCTAATTTGCAGAGATTTCATACCAAATTTGTGTGACAGATTCTTATTACTGAGTTATTAGATTACCCTGAAGGACAAATGCTTGTATCTGTATTTTCTCTTCTTTCTTTTCAATGATATTGTCTTACATTAGTTGGCAAGCAAAAAACCTCAGGAACAACTTGCTCGACTTCATTTTCCAAGTGTAAATTGTCCTGTGTGTACATTACTCTTGGTCATATTTCATGAGGTTATAGTGTTTTAGAACTGGAAGGAATCTCATTATCTGTATAAACCTTTTGTTAGAAGCCAACTGGAGTCTGGTAAAAATCTTGAAGAATCAAATAAGTATATATTCAATCAATACAACCTCTTGAGAACACTTCTAAATTACTACTGTCAGTCCAAAAAACAATAATACTATTTTCAATATTAATACTTACATTCAGTTTGGGAACCTTAATATCCCTTCTTTCTCAGTCCTTTAAGACAGAGACCAATCTGCCTTACTATAAAAGGAACAATAACAATATTAAAACAAATTGGTAGCATAAATAAAAACCATACAACCTCATTATCTTTGTGGAGTAAGTGATTACAGTGCTGCTGGTTACCTGCAGAGGCAAAATGCTACCAGCGGCAATTTTGGTGAATTAACTGGGGTTTATTGGCATACTGTCAAGAATTTAGAATGACTCATGGAATGAGTGTTAATGGAGTGAAACCTTCATTCCATCTATTTGGCAAATGGCAAGGCAATCTAATTGTTTTTCCCTAAAGCAACACAACAATCAGATATTTAGACAGCACATTACTTCCTTTCCTACTGGAAGAAACAGGAGTCATGAGATAAGAGAAGAGATCTAAAAAGCACTGAGATTTTTCTTTGAGTTTTATTAGATTTGCTGAACCTGCACTACATGTTTGAAATGCAGGACTGAACAAAAACGACTGCATTTCTAAGGTAAGCAGAGTATCCAAGGGAGAAACTTGACGTGAATAAACAAATGTTACTGAGTACCCACTGTGGACTCAGCTCTGTGCTAGATACTTCTCAATCGTATTACCTAATAAGAAAACAACTATGAAAAAAAAAAAAAGTATGAGACCATAATTAAAACTAGTTTGTAGAGTGCTCATATCACGGAGGCACGTAAGTCATACAACCCCTTACCGCTCAAAGGGTGGTCTGCTGACCCTACCATCGCCATCGCCTTTGAGCCTGTTAGCAATGCAGAGTCTCAAGCCCTGCCCCGACCCATGAAATCAGAGCTACATTTTAACAATCTCTCCATTTGCACATTAAAGTTTAAGAAGCACTGATTTAACCAACTGTCTTGGCTTATAATTGAGAAAAATAAGGCTCAGGGTGGTTAAGTGATGTGTCTGACCAAACAGCTAGTTAGGAACCCAGCTGGGACTCCCAGGTCTCTCAGCCCGCAGGCCAATGGAACTCAGGATACTGCAGGATTTCAGACAAGAGGGATTTAAGTGTGTGTCATTTCCTCAAATGACCATTGATTGTTCCCATCTTCGCTGTGCAAAGCACATACGTACAGAGACCCTGAGTGAGGCCAATCATCCTGCCTCCTCCCAACACCTCCTCCCACTAATACTCCTGCACAGTCCTCCCTGGAGGGACTTCCCCTTTGCCTGTCCTCATTCTAACCTTTTCCAAGGCCCTGTTAAAGAACCAGCTGCCCATGAAGCCTTCCCTAATGACTCCAGTCCTCTTCAGTTTCTGCATTTTTAATTCAGATTTGCTTCTACATTCTGCATAGGGCATTCTAAAAAGTTACTTATTACACCCTGACACATTTTCTAATACTATGTACTAGACATATTGGCATATGGTTATATAACAATAATATAGATGCAATCTTTTTCTCTATTGTGCTTTTCAATAATTGTATCTATGTCTCCTTTCCAAAATAGATTACTTGTATTTTATCATATTAGACCATCACTTAACACAATAACAGAAATAATACGAAACTCTTGGTGGTGGAAGGGATCCTCTCTAAAACATCCCTAAGACATAGACATGCAGTTTTTTACTTGCATGCTTCCTGTGTTAGGAGGCTCACTACTTTTTAAAAAACAGTACCCTTTTAATTCTGAAATTTAGTTATTAGAAAATTCTAAGCCAAAATCTACTTCCCACTAACTTCTACCAGTGTCCTCAGTTCTGCCCTTAGAGGTAGTTTTGAACTGGCTGAATCCGTCTTCTACAGGAAAGCACTGCAAGTATTTGAACTAACTTAACAAAAATAATTTGGAGACACAGAAGGTCTAGCAGTTAGGAGCAATGAAGACCTAAGCCTGTATTCTGCATTTCCTGTCTGTATGCTTCTTAATGAAGTCATGGTATCCATAAATTTTTGTTGAACACCTACTATGTGCTGGACTGTATGGAGCACAGGCCTTGTGGAGAGATTATAGGACAGAGGAAAGATGACAAGATCACACATACCCCTGAAGCTGCAGAATGGAAACAATTTCACAATGGAAGCTTGAGATCGTTTCATCTGACCTTCCATTTCACCCAGGTCTTCCTAAGCTGCCAAAATATAAGCCTCTCTAGTCATCCCACCCCTCCCACACACACACTCCAATTTGGTTCTACGTTCTTCCTTAGCAAATCATCTTCCCATAGCTGCTCTTCTAGAATTCCAACTCCCAAGTTCATAAACTCTGCTGAACTCTCAGCCTTTTCCCAGAACACTAACTCCAACTGCATGGCAGGATTTCCACTGAGGATGCTGCCTTGCCCTCTACTAAAGTGAAGGCTGCTTATTTTCCCAATGATGACTCACAGCAGAGCCAGAGAAGGAGCTGCCATTCTTTAAGCCTCCCAATGGCTTTTTAGATTCCTCACTTATTCATTCATTCATTCAAACTAGGATCCCTCGCCCAGTATACAAACACCTCTTCTAAGGCTAATGCATTCTAGTTACAGGAATAACTAGAGAATCTTGTAACAGACCCTCTCAGCTCCAAAGGCAATTTGCCCTCTCTGGACAATTGTAACACTGAATCAGGAATGGCTGAGCTGAGGACAGATTCTAGACTGTATTTCTGAATTCCATATTTCTTCCAAGGGGAGAAAAGTGAGATCTTTTCTGCTATTTCATCATCACATTACAATTTGGAGAGGAAAATTCTACCTTCATAAATGCTAGAGAATGAAAGATAAACAATGGAATGTGTAATGCTAAAGGCTTATAAAGTTTAAGCCTACCATGATTTAAAATGAGGTATCTGAGAGGAAAGGGGTGGTTAGTGCAGCCTCCAGTGTGGGGGATTTAAGGTGCCATGAGAGATGACAGAAGCCATGGTCGTGGTGGGCGCTTTGGTTCCAGAAGAGGCCCAAGAGGAGGGTTCAGGCTCTTTGTGCCACATATCCCATTTGATTTCCATCTGTGTGAAATGGCCTTCCCAGGGGTCAAGCCAGCACCTGATGAAATGTCCTTCAGTGAGGCCTTGCTGAAGAGAGATCAGTACCTGGCTCCCAACTCTGCTGAACAGGACTCTGTCCTTTCTCTGGTGACAAAAATAAACAACGTGACTGATAATTTGATTGTGGCTCTAATTTGAAGTGCAAATTCAAGAAGTCTGACAGGTGGGATCGTACTAAAAGAGAAAGATGGCTACAGGCCACAGTGCAGCTGCCCTGGTGATAATACTAAAGACTCTGCCAACACTGGAAGCTGTTACTGCCCTGGGGAACAAAGCTTTGGAAAGCCTCAGAGCACAAGATTCTTCTGAAGTTTTGACCGTGCTGACCAACAAAACTGGCTTGAAATCAGTTCTTCTGATGCTCCAGTGAAGATTCTCATTACAATAGTGTCACTCAATCTTGGAAAACTGGACCCCAAAGTCTATTTGGATAGCAAGGTATTGCAGAATGCCTTGGCAGTCATCTGCCCTGCCTGCTGGATTGAGAGAAGTGCCTCTCAGTCCATAAAGTTCTCATCAGACTACTCAAGGACTTGAGGATTTGTCTTCCTGGCTTTGAGCCACTCACATTCTGGATCCTTGACCTACTGGGTCATTCTGCTGTGATGAACAACCTCACCAGACAGCCTTTGGCCCTAAATGTTGCATATGAGCATTGCTTGCAAATTCTGGCTGCAGGACAGTTCCCACCAGGGTCACTGGGTGTCACTGACCCCTGTGAGAGTACACACAGTCATGACCATGCAACTGCAGGACATGGTCTGCCACACAGCTCTGACTCTGGTCTGAATCCTCTGGTGGCTTTAGGAAGATCCTTGGCCAGGAGGACGATGCCAGCCATCTTGCTTCCAAAATATCTACCTGGGATGGAGTGATAGTAACACCTTCAGAAAAGGCTTAAGAGAAGCTGCCAGAGAAACAGGGAGGAGAGGAAGAAAAGGAGAAGACAGAAGAACCACCTCAAGGAGAGAAAGAGGAAAGCATGGAAACTCAGGAGTGACCTTCCCTTCACTCCCTTTCCTACCCAAGGGGGAAGACTGGAGCCTAAGCTAGCTGCCAGTGGGCTTTACATGGTGGCAGGGATTTCCGTGGGACAGGAAGACAACAGGAAGGAAAATAAACTCTGTAGAAGGAAATGCCAGTCCAGTGGGTTTTGATATTGGCTTAGCAGCCAGAGTCTCCCATTTATGACCTATGCCATCCATCTATAATGAAGCGGGATACCAACATTTCTTCCTCATACTCTAGAATCCCCAACTCCTGAAAACCCTTCTCTCAACTAATAACTTTGCTGTTGAAATGTTGTGAGCTGTTAGTGTCTGGAAAACTTTTTCTAAGAAAAACAATGAAAATACTTCCTAATAGGGCATAAATAAATAAACATAAAAGGAGATACCTGAGAGCAAACACTGCTTTGAAGATCTACAAATTTCTGCTTTTTCCTTAGAGATTTAACTCCCAATAAAGCTGTTGTTTATAGATTTTCCTTTCATTAATTTGGATGAAATGAGCCCGAAGACTAAGGGACTCGGTAGAGAAAGAGAGCAATGACTATTGATGACTTTTTGTGGACTTTGCAAATTAACAAAGCCATCTGGTGACAGAGAACCCCACTGGCTGACACTCAGGCCATGTCAACTCCTATCTTTAACCAAGCTTTCACAACTTAAGAGGTCTTCCAGCCTAACCTCACTGCCCGACCTGGACTTCAAAAAGTATAGCTATGTAATTTGTTTATTGCATTCTATTTCATATTCTATTTTTATCCCCAAATAGACCTGCCTGAGAACAGAAACTGTTCTTCCTACTTCTTTTGCCTACAAAAAAAGGCATAAAATTAATACATGTTGAGACCTTTTGTACTTTCCTCATCAGAATATACAGTGTTTTAAGAACAGACTGCAAATTTTATCAGTGGAGTGTTACATATCAAGGAGGCCCTCTTTTCTCTCACCTAAGATAGGGCTACATTAAAACAAGCACTTGATAAATGCCTTTTAATGACAGTATAATAAAAAATCATTATAACATTTAATAGCTGCTTGTCACGTGTACAAATATATACAGCAGTTTTAAAACAGTAGGTACAAAATAGAAAAGTTCCCATATCTTACCAAGTTGATAGCTAGCTTTTAAATAACTGCAGCACACTGGTAGACATTATGTAAGTGAATCTGTACTTCCAAATAGGCATGTTTTACACTTCTGAATATGTGAATAAAGGAATTGTTCTAAGGTATTCACTACACACACATGTGGACGCGCACACACACACACACACACACACACACACAATTTTCATCATTGGCAACTTTTTCCTGGATTCCTCAGGCTTGAGTCAAGTGTGTTCACCGCTCTGCCTTTCACCAGTGCCATCTTTTCATACACCCATAACTATCTGGCACAGGGTGAAATCATGATTTAGCAAAAGGGCAAGTAGGAGGCAAAATGGAGTGCTATCTTCCCTAATTGCTATTTAAAGGAAACAATAAAAAGGATGAAACAAATTAAATTAGCAAAGAAGCAAGAGCATCCCAATGAACTGGCCAAGATAATCAACTTGGAAAATTAGCTATTAAACCTTCATGCATACTCATTTTCATAATTTTTTGTGTGTGCTTCTGAAACGCAACGCCCCATTGAAATGGCTGGGATGAAGTTGCTTCATTTCTCTGAGATAAGTCATTTGCAATTGGTCTTAATGAAATTAGAGGTGAGGTTTTTTAAATGCCCTGGTTCATCATTTCCCATTTCAGTACTGGAGTGTTCTGATTGGAGTTGGGGAAGTATGTAAAGGAGGTGAGAAGCTGGCTCAGACTAGTCACCTTTCTGAATTCTTCCACTTTATTTTATTATCTTTTCCAAATGTATGTGCAGAGTATGGATTTTGGTTTTTATTGTCATTACCTTTATGTATCATCATCATCACCATATCATCATCCTCATCATCATTTAAAAGACCTGATTTTTACTTATTTGCAGACTATCTTCCTTAAATGTTTAAGGGTAAGAATTTCTATGCATATTTTTTATCTTTTAATCTGACATCTTGTGCTCTCAATGTTAGTCCTTCTTATGTACAGGTCTTCAACCTCGTAAAAGGCTAATCTTTATTACTCACAGCAGTCATTGAAAAGACCACAAGCATTAATAAAATCTATAAAGAATAAATATTCACACTTACTTTTACCAAATAATTCTGATTTTTCAGTCTGTGAGCTGTTACTAAAGTACAAAATAAGTAGCCAAATGCATTTATTTAAGAGTCTTCTTTGGAACTTCCTTTCTACTCATGGGTTTGCTAAATTGCTACCTGGGGCAAAACAGGAATTAGAGCACTTATTTAAACAGGACAAATTTTAATAGGAAGAGAAGCAATGAATTTGGATTATTCATCATCAAAAATTGTGAGAGCCAATGTCCTGAAGATTAGCTATTCACATATGAATGTTTCAATTGAAGATTAAGAACATACCTTTATATAGTGGATTATTAGTGTGGTCTACTCCTCTTTTCCTTGATTTTGCTTTTTTTAAAATAAATATTTTAATCTACTGCTGAAGGAAATAATTTCTATAAACCCTTTTCTCCACATGTGAACAGTGAGTGGCACTTCTGAACTTAGGCAAGATTTAATAATCCCAGAACTCTCAGACCAGAATTTCAGAGGCCCCTAGATGTGTTATGAGGCAGCTTAACAATATGATTTCACAGGCCTTGGGTGGCAGAAGGAAATCCAAATGTATGCTTGGTACCTAAAAGGCCAATGTTCAAGCTAACTAGTGCTCTGCATGTTCAGTCTTATTTATTCTTTATTTCTGAGAAAGAAATAAAAGACCAAAAGAGAAACTCTAAATCAGGGGTGTCCAATCTTTTGGCTTCTCCGAGCCACATTGGAAGAAGAAGAATTGTCTTAGGCCATACATAAAATACACTAGCACCAACAATAGATGATGAGCTAAAAAATAAAAATAAAAATCACAAAAAAATTCTTGAGGTTATAAGAAAGTTTACTAATTTGTGTTGGGCCATATTCAAAGCCATGTTGGACTGCATGTGGCCCGTGGGCCGCAAGTGGGACACGGCTGCTCTAAATCAAACTAAGTAGATGGAACTTCAGGCCAAGTATTTGATATTCGTGTTAACTTTAGCTAACTTTAGCTAAATGGAAAATGCCTGATGGCATACAATTAGATTAAAATACATTTTCACTAGAAAGACAAAGAGGTCTTACCTTTTGAGGTGCCAATCAATAGCCCTTGGTAGATATACATCCTCATAATTGTGCATTAATATTAACTTTGTATATTTTAAATTTATCAGAATAGGATGATGTGTGCCTCTTGTTTACAATTGTGTTAAAACATTTAAAATGAAAAACACGTGTATTAAACTGTCACACCACCTGATCCATTTTTTCCTTTGTTAGGAATCAACACGTTAGATTTTCAAGTTGTTTTCTTGCCTGTTAAATTTCATTCCTGAAACATTTTTGAGTGCCTACTATTTCCCAGGTTACTGTATTTACTCTGGGAATTCAGTATAAGAGATGAATTAGACATAGGCCCTGCCCCTACTAAAAAAACCCACAGATATGGAGTTTGATGACAGACAAGGAAATGTTACTATGCAACTTGGAAAATGAAATGTTTATGCTGTAAAAGATAAAGTAGACTATTTGGGTTTTATTGTTTTTCTGTTTTTGTTTTTGTTTTTGAGATGGAGTCTTACTCCATCGCCCAGGCTGGAACGCTGGGGCACGATCTCGGCTCACTGCAACCTCCACCTCCTGGGTTTAAGCAATTCTCCTGCATCAGCCTCCCAAGTAGCTGAGATTACAGGCACATACCACCACACCTGGCTAATTTTTGTATTTTTAGTAGAGATGGAGTTTTGCCATGTTGGCCAGGCTGGTCTTGAACTCTTGACCTCAAACAATTCACCTGCCTCGGCCTCCAAAAGTGCTGGGATTACAGCTATGAGCCACCATGCCCAACCGATAAAGTAGAATATTTGCACTTAGAAACAATCCATTTTGTTCTTCTGGGTTTTATTTGTTTATTTATTTAGAGACAGGGTCTTACCTTGTTGTCCAGGCTGGAGTGCTATGGCCAATCATAGCTCACTGCAGCCTGGGGCTCCTGGGATCCAGGGACCCTTCCACCTCAGCCTTCCAAAGCACTGAGGTTACAGGCATGAACCACTGCCCCTGGCCAAATTCTTTGTTCTTTTTTTTTTTTTTTTTTTTGAGAAGGGATCTCACTAAGGCACCCAGACTTGAGTATAGTGGCATAATCATGGCTCACTGCAGCCTCAACTTCCCAGGCTCAATCCATCCTCCCACATTAGCCTCCCTAGTAGCTGGGACTATGGGCACACACCACCATGCCTGGTTAATATTTACATTTTTTGTAGAGACGGGTTTTGCTTAAGTGGTCCTCCTGCCTCAGCCTCCTAAAATGCTGGGATTATAGGCGTAAGCCACCACACCTGGCCCTAATTCTTTGTTTGTTAAATCTTATGGTTGCTTAGAGCAAAAGGAAAAATGACAAACATATATAGAATCCCAACTCTGTTCTAGGGATTTTATATTTTAAAATAATGCACCCTTGTCTCAAAGAATCATAAACCATAAGAGTTGAAAGAAAACGTTTTTTAAAAGTTAAGCTTTTGGCCAGGTGCGGTGGCTCGCACCTGTCATCCCAACACTTTAGGAGGCTGAGGCTGGCAGATTGCTTGAGGCCAGGAGTTCAAGACCAGTCTAGGCAACATGGTGACACCCCATCTCTACCAGAAAAAAAAAAAAAAAATTAGCCAGTATGGTGGTGAGCGCCTGTAGTCCCAGCTACTCAGGAGGCTGAGGCACGAGAATCGCTTGAACCCAGGAGGTCAAGGCTGCAGTGAGCTATGATCATGCCCCTGTGCTCCAGCCTGGGCAACAGAGCAACACCCTATCTCTAAAAAGAAAAAGTAAGATTTAAATTAAAACTAACCTGATATAGGAAGAGTTTTGAGGAACATAAGTTTTGAGGAACATTAATCTAGGTCACATGGTAAATAAGTGGGCTTTTATGGTCTATTTGGGGTACCTGTGGTAGATTAAGGATGACTGCAAATTCTTTGCCACTCTTTCCACTGAGAAGCAGACCACCTCTCCTTGGATCTAAATGGCCTCTATCACAATTTTGACAAACAGAAATAACACTGTACTAGTTTTCCAGGCCCAGACCATAAGAAATTGGCAGCTTCGACTTTATATCTCTTGGAACACTCACTCATGGAATCCAGCCACCATCCTGTGAGGAAGCCTAAGCAGGCCCACAGAAAGCCCCTTGTCGAGAAGAACCAAGGACCGTGGCCAACAGCCTCCATCCGGTTCCCAGCTGACAGCCAACACCAAGTTGCCAGCCATGTGAGCCCTGTTGGAAGTGAATCCCCCAGCCTCAGTCTACAGCTGACACCAGGTAGGACAAATGTAAACTGCCCGGATGTGCCCTTTCTAAATTCCTGACCCATAAAATTGTGAGCAAAAAAAAATTTGGCAGGCGGAAGAGGGTAGATTGTTATACAATAACAGATAATCAGAACAGAATCTAATTATGATTAATACCATCAACTCTATGTACAAAGTGGGTAGTAATACAGGTTCTAGAGTCAAACTGCCCGGAATCCAGCTGTGTCACCTTGAACAATTTAATCTCTCTGAGCCTCAGATTCTTCTGCAAAATTAGGTTAACTATAATCTAAGTCACAGGATTTTTGAACGAATTAAATGAGACAATTCACATAAGCACTTAGAAAGGGCCTAGCCCATAGCTAACATTATTGAGAATTCACTATTATCATTGTAGGAAAATGTGCTGAAAAGTTAGAGACTACCAATTTTAAATGGACTTTGAAAACACATGTATTCACAGCTTGAGACTTGTCTATCTATCGGATTTTTCAGCTTTACTCTCCTCAGCTTCCCATATAAAATCATGAACATGTCAATGACTGTCTCCCTCAGGGTTAATTTGGTGTTATCCCAAGCTCTTATATTTCACGTACTGTGAAAATATTGTTTCAAGAAATGGTCCGCTCATCAAAATCGTGTATCTCAATTGTGTTAAGTATATAATGACTTGCCATGTTAGCAAGATAAATCCAGGGTTAATTTAATGTGAGTATTTGAGATTTGTTTTATTTTTTCTGGTTCTGGGAACTTAAACATTTATTCCACTTGATTTTTTTTCTTCCTTGTTTTTAGTTAGAAGCAGCATTCCAACAAGAAGATCCACAAGATGAATTTGCAAATAGCAGTTTCCAAACTTTTGAATTGTTCAACCTGAGCAACAGTTCCATCTCCATGAATACTTCACATATTGTTTATCCTGCTCTTAAATGTTACCTGATTCTGCTACTACAAATCAATCAAAGAACTGGTGATTTGTCTTGGGGTCTTAAATTAATTTTGAGCAGCTCTGCAAGCTGTGTCCCGTGAGAGAGCTTGTGGGGAGGAAAATCAAAGAAAAGCTAAAAAAAAAAAAAAAAAAGAAAAGGAGAACAAAAACAAAAGAACACCCACAGGTTTGCAAATTGAGGTCTGAATAATACACCAGTCCCATTAAATTATGTTGTTAATCCCAAGACAATTAGTCTTCCTGTGAGAAGTGTATGTAGGAGCACATTCTAAGTACATAGATGGTTGTCTGAAACTCAGAATAGTATCGCATATCAACCCAAAATGATCTCTCCACAGATCATAAATGACATTACTTGAAATATCTTAATTTGTATATCAGGTTCTTCGACATGGGAAAATTCCCTGAATATTTATGCAAAATGAAAGCAAAGAACACTATAAATTGAAATGCAATAAAAGGAGTTTATTTCCAAGCCACAGCTTGGAATCATCTCCGTTTTGAATGTTGCTGGCAAAGAATGTATTCTTGATTAGGCTTTGTTGATAGGCAAAATGTGGAGCACATTTCCAGTTCTAATAAGTCTCTGAGGCTCTAGAAATTCATTTCTGAGCTACATAAAATAGATCAGCACAATTTCTCCTCTTCTCTCCTACCAAGAGAAAAAGAAGCACCCAACCAGAATAGAACTGACAGTATACAAGAGAATTCACAATGTCTAGGATGATCTCTGAACATATATACAAAGATGAAATGCCATGGAGGGGAGAAAAGTTAGAAGGTCTTAAGAAAGGGTTGGCCAATGCCAATGGTATAGGAGAAAAAGATGGAAGGAATGGGGAAGCATAATTGGGAGGGGAGCAGGGAGAAATTCATGATGATATTACATCCTGTGTTAATAGAATTGCTTCTAGAGGCAACTGTGCCAGAAGTTACTGCCCCCAGAATTTGCAGATATCTTATAGAAGGGAGAATGAGAACCCCAGGGGTCAGTTCCCCATTTTGCCACTGGCCAGCTGCATGATCTTAGAAATATTAAATATTCTGCATTTGTTTTCCCAGATATGTAAAAACAGAAATTGCCACATTACCTACTCGTCCTACAGAAATCTCTGAACTAGAATTCTTTGAAAGTCCATGCGACTTGTAACTTATATGATACAATTTCACAGTTAAAATTTTTGTCATCCCCATTCTAAGACTCTATCCAAGGTGTAAACCTCATAAGCACTAAGGCCACACCTCAGCATCTTGGTTCTGCTTCTTACCTTGCAGGCAGGCTCAAAACTGCCACAGAACCAGAGAGAATGTCATTAGTTTTCTTACTTTTATGGTTATTATCGACCCTTAACTACAGGTCTCCCTCTTGGTGGCTTCCCTCCTCCATGGCTCCTCATGTCATGGGCTACATTTTTGTTGTCAGATTACCTCCAAACACACGGTCCCCCAGCAAACATTAAGTCTAATAAAAACATTAACCAAAAGGTATTAAAAGTTCAGCCTGCATTTTTACGTTTCCTCTGGAGTCTTATTCTTGATAATTTACATAACTGCTTCAGAATACCGAACATGCATTTTTAAATGTCACTGCTTGCAGGGATTATTTGTATATTGCCTTAATTAGCCTCAACTTCAAAATCTGGTTGATCAGAATCGGGGTTTTTTGTGCATTGTATCTCCTGGCGTCTCTAGCGCTGGTTTAATTAGGTTCCCAGCTTGCTTTCACCTAGATCAAAAGCGCAAAGAGGGGACTTGAGGAGGATTATCATAATAAATAAAATACACTTGCTTGTTCTTTCGTTCCTCATTCTGTACGCATTTTTGCATTTTTTTGGTTCATATTGTAGAAATAATGAATGCACAACATGCTATTCTACATATGATTGTGTATCTAGCATTCTGCAGACATTTAACTTTTTTTTTTTTTTTTTTTTTTTTGAGATGGAGTCTCGCTCTGTCACCCAGGCTGGAGTATAGTTGTGCAATCGCGGCTCACTACAACTCCATCTCCCAGGTTCGAGCAGTTATTCTGCCTCAGCCTCCTGAGTAGCTGGGACTAGAGGCATGCACCACCACACCCGGGTAATTTTTTTTTTTGTATGTTTAGTAGAGATGGGGTTTCACCATGTTAGCCAGGGTGGTCTCAAACTCCTGACCTCAGGTGATCTACCTGCCTCTGCCTCCCAAAGTACTGGGATTACAGGCATGAGACACCATACCTGGCCTGACACTTAACTATTAAACCAAGAACTGTGTATTCAAAAAACTAAACCTACTTTCAAGCTCAACATTATGTCTCAAGGGAATGCAGGACAAATAACTCATACTATGTTTTTAGTGGTCTACACTCTTTCAGAAATGCTGATATCAAGAAAGAAATGTCATCCAAACTATTTACTCAGAAAGTCATATTAATTTACAAATTGACAGAGAAATCACAAGATGGAATCATCTATCATCAGAACAAGCAAAGAGAAATGGGAAAGATCTCTGATTCATAGAAAAATGAAATCTAGATAAAATATTAGCTAGAGGAAACCTATGTATATCATTCAATCTTTTGATGCTCATTTGGCCATTTTTCAAAAAATACAGAAGTACACAGTATAAAAAGTAAAAGTTTACCTATTCTGCCACAATCCTTCAACTAACTCCTCCTCCACTTTCTTGGACAGCCATTGCTCAGAATTTAGTGTGTAAATGTTTTGAAAACATTCTAGTACCAGATACACAATTGATATGTATATATATAAGGTTTATAAATATAATCATGCAAATAATATCTATATGGATGTACATGGCTATACATTCATTTAATGATTTTCCTTTTGATGAACATTTAGGTTGTTGAATGTCCTAGCAGACACATCTCTGGACACAAGTTTCAATATTTTTGGAGTACGTATTCCTAGGCATGGGAGAGTGGGGCTCCTGTTGGGGGATTCCAGCTAGAAAGAGGAGAGAAAATATTCAGGAACCAAGCAACTGGTGGTAAGATGAGAGAAAGCAAGTTCTACTATGGGTACAAGAATGAGAAGAGGCTGGGCGCGGTGACTCACACCTATAATCCCAGCACTCTGGGAGGCTGAGGCAGGTGGATCACCTGAGGTCAGGAGTTCGAGACAAGCTTGACCAACATGGAGAAACCCCATCTCTACAAAAAATACAAAATTAGCCAGGTGTGGTGGCACATGCCTGTAATCCCAGCTAGTCAGGAGGCTGAGGCAGGAGAATCCCTTGAACCCAGGAGGTGGAGGTTGCAGTGAGCCAAGATGGCGCCATTGCACTCCAGCCTGGGCAACAAGAGTGAAACTCAGTCTCAAACAAACAAACAAACAAACAAACACAAGAATGGGAAGAACCCTAAAGTTTTCAAATGTTGGAAACAGGAGCAAACATCAGACTTTTTAGCAAGATGTGCTAGTGTCTAAGGATGTGAGCCCTCTTTAATGCTTGACATTGAACAAATGAAGTGCAATGATCTGTCTAATCCATCAACAAATCTTCATTGACCATCTCAGACATACAGGCTTTAATCTGTGCTTTGCAATAATTTTTTCACTAATTAAAATAAGTGTAGATAGCAGGGCATTTAAATTTTAAGATACTATACTTTAGACCTGATTATAATTCAGTTGCAAATAATGTCTGCTTAGCTGAGGTGTACGACACTCTACGGAGAGGGCCCTGGTATCTTTTGCCGCATGCGATGAGTCTGTGCTAAGCAGAGTTGTGATCCCAGTTGTAATTTAATACAATTTTTATCACCTTAAACTTCCTTACTATCAATTTCTAAAATACAAACGGTACTTTTTTTTATTACATAATTAGAAAACATCCACTCATTAATTGTCAGTGAGTTACCTTGCTATTTTAAGTGGTGAAATAATCAGTGGTTGTTAAATGATTTCATAACTGTGCCAGAGCCTAAATCACAATGCAGAGTGTTACAACCTATACATCGAGTATTATTTGCACATTAGTCAAGCGTACAATCATTTGTTAATGCTCTCAACAAGTGGTTTCCAGGATCTTTTTCTTAACTGAATTTGTCAAAAACAGACCTCAAGACATCCAAATCAAGAAAGTTTAAAAGTATTTATCTCACTGAGCAAAGAAATGTTTATATATATAATTTCATATATATGTAATTTTACATAGTTTTCTATTTAGCATATTTATTAGCATCAAATAAAATATGTTACTTTATATATTGTTGCAAAGCATAGTATCATACTTGTTTCATTGTAGGCAATACTTAAAGTGATAGTTAAGATTCTTGAGAATTAGCTAAAAATCAGTACCTAAGAATCAGATATATGCAATAAGTATCACTGAGACAAAACATTTCCTGGGGCCAGGCATGATGGCTCATGCTTATAATCCCAGCACTTTGAGAGATCAAGATGTGTAGGCCAATCTTATTGTACAGATAGCAAATTTTATTTGTTAAATATTGTTATTTCTTATATCACACAACTGGTGTCTTCCTGTTTCTAAAATATGCAGTTCTACCACACACCATTGGCAGCGCATATCAGTATACAGTTGTACACTAGTGGTTTGCCTTGTCTTGGACTCAAATACTTCGCCTTATATCTCTTTTTGTAAAACTCATTTTGGAATATTTTTGCCATTCTGACCATAGCCAGCTCTTAGTTACTTGTAAGAATAGAAGTGTAGAAGTAAGGATTTTTCAGTTTTGTTTTGTTTGTTTGTTTTTGAGACAGGGTCTTGCTCTGTCGCCCAGGCTGGGGTGCAGTGGCACAATCACATCTTGCTGCAGCCTTAATCTCCAGGAGTTCAACACAATCCTGAGCAACATAGAAAAACCCCATCTCTACAAAATATTGAGGAACCAAGCAACTGGTGGTAAGATGAGAGAAAGCCAGTTCTACCATGGGTACAAGAATGAGAAGAGGCTGGGCACAGTGACTCATACCTATAATCCCAGCACTTTTTTTTTTTTTTTTTTGAGACGGAGTCTCACTCCTTTGCCCAGGCTGGAGTGCAGTGGAGCAATCTCAGCTCTCTGCAACCTCCGCCTCCCAGGTTCAAGTGATTCTCCTGCCTCTGCCTCCTGAGTAGCTGAGATTACAGGTGCGCACCACCACACCTGGCTAATTTTTGTATTTTTAGTAGAGATGGGGTTTCATCATGTTGGTCAGGCTGGTCTCGAACTCCTGACCTCGTGATCCGCCCACCTTGGACTCCCAAAGTGCTGGGATTACAGGCGTGAGCCACTGCGCCTGGCAAAAAACTTTTTTAAAAAATTAGCGGGGTATGGTAGTGCTTGCCTGCAGTCCCAGCTACTCAGGAACTCAGGAGGCTGAGGTAGGAGGATCACTTGAGCCTGGGAGGTTGAGGCTGCTTTGAGCTGTCATCATGCCACTGCACTCCAGCCTGGAGGACACAGTGAGACCTTCAAAAAAAAAAAAAAAAAAGAATGTCTGGGCCAGAAATAGGAAGAAGTAGGAGTATAACTATGAGCAAATCAATGGTATAACATCCCTAAAGAAAGAAACTGTTGGTCAGAAGGAAGAATGGTTAGGTTGGAACACAGAAAAATGAATGCTTATCCACACATTTGACCAAGGAAAAGGATGGCCCACTCAGGGACTTGACCAGTCCTAAAAGAAAAATTTCTTTATTATGGTTGCACATTCTTCAGACTCCCTGGCACTCTTATACAGAATTATGAGCCCTCCTTGACCGAATTCCAAGTTTCTGACTTTAAACCTTTCAAGATACTTCTACACGAAGAGTGTTCCCCATCTCTTAGATTTCTTAATGCAGATTATTAAATATTCTATCTATACAACCATCAACAGTTTGGTTAATATGACTTTTTCCTCGAGAAACTGAACCACTATTAGTATACTGACATAATCCTGGGAATAAATCACTTACACATATGCATATGTGCACAGTATTTAATTTTTTGTAGGAGACTGATTTAAATATTTTAAAAGGTCTACCATGATAGACTTCAGCAATTTTATAAAGAACCCAGTTAGCCCCCTGTAAAGCCAGGGTCTAAAAGAAATTTCATTTACTTTACCTATACTTTGCACCTAATTATTCGTTTGGTTGAAGTTTTAGACTTCTATGACCCTTAATGGAAACAAAAACAGAATAATCATCCTTGCTTCAAAGTGCAGAGCCACTTCAGGATAGAGACAGCAAAATGTAACAAAGAAGCAAGCAGTGTGGAAAAAAATGCAAAAAGGAGAACTTTCAGAGCCTTCGGAATCAGGTCTCCTTAGAATGGCTTGAAGAAAATATTAGATGTAACCATACAAACAAACAAACAAAAAAGCTGGGCGCGCAGTGGCTCATGCGTATAATTCCAGCACTTTGGAGGCCAAGGCAGGTGAATTGCTCGAGTCCAGGAGTTTGAGACCAGACTGGGCAACATGGCAAAACCCTGTCTCTACAAAAAATACAAAAATTAACTGAGCTTGGTCACACACACCTGTAGTCCCAGCTACCAGGGATGCTGAGGTGGATCACCTGAGCCCAGGAGGTCAAGGCTGCAGCAAGATGTGATTGCGCCACTGCACCCCAGCCTGGGCGACAGAGCAAGACCCTGTCTCAAAACAAAACAAAACAAAACAAAACAAAACCCAAAAAAAAACCTCACTTCTACACTTCCATTCTTACAAGTAACTAAGAGCTGGCTATGGTCAGAATGGCAAAAATATTCCAAAATGAGTTTTACAAAAAGATATATAAGGCGAAGTATTTGAGTCCAAGACACAGCAAACCGCTAGTGTATACCTATATACTGATATGTGCTGCCAATGATGGTGTGGTAGGACTGCATATTTTAGAAACAGGAAGACACCAGTTGTGTGATATAAGAAATAATAATGTTTAGCAAATAAAATGTGCTATCTGTACAATAAGATTGGCAGGGTTTTTTAAAGTGCTTTTAGCCTAAATAATTTTTGGAAAACTCTAAAGGAGAGTGGGGGAGGTTAGTGCTGCTGAGAAAGAAAAAGAGAGAGAAAAGGACACTTAAGGTTTAAAGTTATTTAAAAGTTAAAAATATTTTAAAATATCAAGAAGAGAGAACAAGAAACTCAGAAATGTAAAATGGTAAGACTAGGACTCTGCTAATATATTAAAAAGTGACAGGTATTTTAATGTAAAGGCATAAAAAAATTAAAGGTAAAACTAGGAATAGATATAGGCTGGGTGCAGTGGCTCACACCTGTAATCCCAGCACTTTGGGAGGCCAAGGCAGGTGGACTGCTTGAGGTCAGGAATTCAAGACCAGCCTGGCCAACATGGTGAAACCCTGTCTCCACTAAAAATACAAACATTAGCCAGGCATGGTGGTGCACACCTGTAATCCCAGCTACTCCAAAGGTTGAGGCAGGAGAATCACTTGAACCTGGAAGCCGGAGGTTGCAGTGAGCCCAGATCGCGCCACTGCACTCCGGCCTGGGAGACAGAGTGAGATTCAATCTCAAAAACAAACAAACAAAAAGAATATTAAAAGATAAAATCATGATGCCTTAAAAATCAAAAAACAAGACAAATTAAAATGGGTCAAATATATTCAAACAACAAAAATTCCAAAGCAGGTTTTTAAAGCATTTTGGGGCCAAATTTTTTTTTTTTTTGAGACGGTCTCCCTCTGTCGCCCAGGCTGGAGTGTAATGGCATGACCTCAGCTCACTGCAACCTCCACCTCCTGGGTTCAAGAGATTCTCCTGCCTCAGACTTCTGAGTTGCTGGGATTACAGGCACGCGCTACCATGCCCGGCTAATTTTTGTATTTTTAGTAGAGACGGGGTTTCACCATGTTGGCCAGGCTGGTCTCAAACTCCTGACCTCAGGTGATCCGTTTGGGGCCAAAAATTTTTAACTTTTTATTATAAACCATTCACATATAAAAAAGGAAAGAAAACAGCAAGGTGCACTTATGTACCCCACCTGCTCAACAACCATCAACCTATAACCAACCTTATTTCACCTGTACTTCCTACTTCCTTTCTCCTCCTCACTCTTCTACCTTCTTCCCCCGGCTTCCCCTAACCCATATTCTTTTTTGAAGTGCTCTGTTAAACACCGCTTCTCTCTGGGTGGTGTGTTCATTTAATGATACTTAAATGCCCAATTCCTCAAGCTTTCACTGTTCGATTATCAAAACACTCTCATTCTGGTTCTTAACACTCTTGTTCATCATAAAACTCCATTCCCATTTTCATTTTAAGACTTCCCTGCTACCCCACACCATTTTTGCCTGCTCTCTGCCCCTTCTTCCCTAGTGCAGACTAGTCTTGCCTCCCAAGGCCTGGTGTGGGAGGAATCGTGGCCCACCCTCTCATAGCCAGTTTTTCCAGATGCTTACCCAGCTGTGTTGGCAACATTTGAACAAAAACAGATTCCCATTCCCCAACTTAGTGAGGCAGGGAACCATTCCAGAATTGCCATTTCTCTTGGGGTGGAGGACAAGTGGGATGACCGTCACCACTTGAGACAGGGGAAAAGTGGGGAAAGGGTTGTTACTCCTCGAACTGTGCATTCTCTCAAAAGGCACTCCCTCCTTGCCCCTAGTCCTCCTGGGAAGAGGTTGGCTGTGATGCTTCTGTTCGATGGCCACTATTCTCACTTAGAAGCGAATGATTCTACACCTTTTCCACTCAACCGTTACAGGACTGACTGCACAATTTGTAAGGCTCAGTGAAAAATAAAAACGCAAGGCCCCTCATTGAAAAATGATTCAGAATTTCAAGGTGGAGGACATCAACAAGATGGCGGAATAGGAAGTTCCTGGCTCTAATCCACCTCACAAAAATACTGACTAGCAACTCTTCACAGACATGAATGCCTTTGTGAAAATCCCTGAACCCAGGGATGAAGTGGCTGAAGCATCCACTGTGGAGCTCAAAAATGCAGAAAAACTACCTTAGAAGGAAAAGGTCAACTTCGCTTTGACTATGTCACCCCTCCCTGAGGCCACACAGCACCACACCAAGTAGAGTTCTTTAGACCTACAGTTTCTCCAGTGGGGAAAAGAAAGCCTGAGGCAGACATCCAGCTTTCCCAGTATTCTGGGCCCAGGGAGTCTAGGAGATCCACTGCCATCCCACCTCACAGGGAATGCTAAGGGAATTGGCAGGGCTGGACCACCTAAAGTTAGGTAGAAATAAAGAGAGAGAGTGGGACTTACAGCATCCAGTGTCAGGATCTTGACGGTGGCACCAAGTCCCTGCCATTAGCATTGTCCAACAAGAGAGCCCAGCCAGCCTACACCCAACTGCAAAGCACAGCCTGCAGCTCTGCCTGACCAGGGAGCCCAGCCTACAGCCCACCTAACTGCAAGGCCCAGACTGCAGCCATGTCAATCTAGGAGCCTAGCAGCAACCCTGATTAAGTACAGAGCACAGCCAGCAGCCCCATACAACCAGGGAGCCCAGTCAGCAGCCTCACCCTACCTTGGGCATGGGCAGCAGCCACACCCAACAGAGACCCAAGGAGCAAGCCCCACTGGCCCACAGACACTATCAGCTGGCTGTTCCACAACCCCAGGCGGGGCTAACTGGTGAAGGTATTTCCCTACCAAAGCAAACCTGTAAAGGCTGAAAGAAGGGACTGCTTCCTCAAATGCACAGACACCAATGCAAGGATAAAAAGATCATGAAGAATCAGGGGAGTGTGACATCACCAAAGGAAGCTAACAAAGTTCCAAGAGTCAGCGCTAAAGAAACAGAGATCTATACATTGACAAGCAAAGAATTCAGAATAATCCTTTTAAAAGTTCAATGAACTACCAGAAAACACATATGCCAAAACAAAATTAGGAAAACAATATATGAATAAAATAAGAAGTTAATAAATAAATTAAATATCTAAAGACTGTCCCAGACAAACAAAAGCTGAGGGAGGTCGTCACCACTAGACCTGCTTTACGATAAATGCTAAAGGGAATTCTCCAATCTGAAATGAAAGAACACTAATTACTCACATAAAAATGTATGAAAACATAAAACTCACTGGTCAAAATAAGTACATAGTCAAATTCAAAATACTCTGATTCTGTAATGGTGGTGTGTAAATTACTTATCTCTAGTACAGTCATACCTCAGAGATATTGCAGGTTTAGTTCCACACCACCACAATAAAGCAAATATCTCAATAAAGCATGTCACATGAATTTTTTGGTTTCCCAGTACATAAAAAAGTATTATTTATATTAGGTTGTAGTGTTTATTAAGTGTGCAATAGCACTATGTCTAAAAAAACAATGTACGGACCTTAAAAGTACTTTATTGCTAAAAAAAAAAAATTGCTAACAATCACCTGAGACTAAGCAGGTTGTCCTCTTTTTGCTGGTGGAGGGAGAGTCTTGCCTCAATGCTGATGGCTGCTGACTGATCAGAGAAGTAGTTAACTGAAAGTTGGGGTATTTCTGGCAATTTCTTAAAATAAGACAAAAAGATTTGCCACGTTGACTGACTCTTCACAAAAGACTTCTCTGTAGCATGTGATGCTGTTTGATGCATTTTACACACAGTAAAACTTTCAAAATTGGAGTCAATTCTCTCAAACTTTGCCACTGCATTATCAACTAAGTGTATGTATAATTCTAAATCCTTTGTTGTCATTTCAACAATGTTCACAGCATCTTCATCAGGAGTACTTTTCATTTCAAGAAACTACCTTCTTTGCTCATCCATAAGAAGTAATTCCTCATCTGTTCAAGTTTTATCATGAGGTTGTAACAATTCAGTCAGATCTGTAGGCTCCACTTCTCATTTGCGTTCTCTTGCTATTTCTACCATATCTGCAGTGACTTCTTCCACTGAAGTCTTGAACTCCTCAAAGTCATCCATGAGAGTTTGAATCAATTTCTTCCAAACTCCTGTTAAAGTTGATATTTTGACCTCCTCCCATGAATCACAAATGTTAATGACATCTAGAGGGATGAATCCTTTCCAGAAGGCTTTTAATTTACTTTGCCCAGATCCATCAAGGGAATCACTATCTATGGCAGCCTTATGAAATATATTTCTTAAATAATATGATTTGAAAGTTGAAATTACTCCTGGTTCCATGGGCTGCAGAATGGATATCGTGTTAACAGGCGTGAAAATAACATTGATTTCCTGTACATTTCCATCAGAGCTCTTGGGTGACCAGGTGCATTATCAATGAGCAGTATTACTTTGAATCAAATCATTTTGCTGAACAGAAGTTCTCAACAGTGGGCTTAAAATATTCAGTGAACCATGTCTAAACAGATGTACTGTCATCTAGGCCTTGTTGTTCCATTTAGAGAACACGGGCAGAGTGGATTGAGCATAATTCTTAAAGGCCCTAGGATTTTCAGGATGTTAAATGAGCATTAGCTTCAACTTAAAATCACCATCTGTATTAGCAGATGAGAGTCAGCCTGTCCCTTAAGCTTTGAAGCCAGGCATTGACTTCTCCTCTCCAGCTACGAAAGTCTTAGATGCCAACTTCTCCCAATATAAAACTGTTTCATTTGCATGGAAAATCTGTTGTTTAGTGTAGCTGCCTTCATCAATGATCTCAGCTAGATCTTCTGGACAACTTGCGGCACCTTCTCCATCAGCACTTGCTGCTTCATGTTATACTTTTATGTTATGGAAATGGCTTTTTCCTTAAACCTCATGAACCAACCTCTGGCCAGCTTCCAATTTTTCTTCTGTAGCTTCCTCACCTCTGTCAGCCTTCATAGAATTGAAGAGAGTTAAGGCCTTGCTCTCCATTAGGATTTAGCTTAAGGGAATGTTGCGGTTGATTTGATCTTCTATGGAGACTACTAAAGCTTTCTCCATATCAGCAATAGGCTGTTTCACTTTCGTATCATTTGTATACTCACTGGAGTAGCACTTTTAATTTCCTTCAAGAACACTTTCTTTGCATTCACAACTTGGCCATTTGGTACAAGAGGTCCAGCTTTCAGCCTGTCTCAGCTTTCAACATGCCTTCCTCACTAAGCTTAACCATTTATAGCTTTTGACTTAAAGTGAAAGACTTGTGACTCTTCCTTTCACTTGAGCACTTAAGAGGGCATTGTAGGGTTATTAATTGGCCTAATTTCAATATTACTGTGTCTCAGGGAATAGGGAGGCCCAAGGAGAGGGAGAGAGAAAAGGGAATGGCTAGTGAGTGAAGCAGTCAGAACACATGCAACATTTATTATATTCACCATCTTATATGATGCAGTTTGTGGTACCACAAAATAATTATAACAGTGATATCAAAAGTCACTGATCATAGACCACCATAATAGATATAATAATGAAAATTTTGAAATATTATAAGAATTACTGAAATGTGACACAGAGACACAAAGTGAGCACATGCTGTTGGAAAAATGGCACCAATAGACTTGCTTGACAAAGGGCTACCACAAACCTCCCATTTGCAAAAAACACAATATCGGTGAAGCACAATAAAATGAAGCACAATAAAATAAGATGTGTTTATATAAAGGTTAAATTACAAAACCGTTAAAAAAACTATAGCTACAATAATTTGTTAAGGGATATACAATAAAAAAAGATGTAAATTGTGATCTCAAAAACATAAATGTTGAGGGAAGAAGTAAAAGTACAGTTTTTGTATGTGATCAAAGTTATCAGCTTAACATAGACTGTTATAACTACAAGATATTGTATGTAAGCCTCATGATAAACGTGAGCAAAGATCTATAATAGATATACAAAAGATAAAGAGAATGGAATCAAATATATATATGATTATATATTTTGATATATATCAAAATATATATATAATATATAATATATATATTTAATATGTATGCTTTGATCTGAAGACAGCAAGAAAGAGAGAAACAAAAGAAGTACAAAACAGCCAGAAAACAGTTAACAAAATGGCAGTAGTTAGTCCTCACCAGTCAGTAGTTACCTTGAATGTAAATGAATTAACTTCTTCAATCAAAAGACATAGAAGAGCTGAATGGATTTTTTAAAATAGGCCAAACTATATGCTGCCTACAAGCAAGAGACTCATTTCAGCTTTAAGGATACACATAGACTGAAATTGAAGGGATGGAAAAAGATATTTTATGCAAATAAAACCAAAAGAAAGCCAGGATAGCTATGTTTACACCAGACAAAATAGACTTTTGGTCAAAAACTGGCACAAGAGACAAAGAAGATCATCATATAATGATGAAGGGACTAATTCACCAGAGGATATAACAATTTTATATATATATATATACACTTGGGCCTGGCACAGTGGCTCACACCTGTAATCCCAGCACTTTGGGAAGCCGAGGCAGGTAGATCACAAGGTCAGGAGTTCAAGACCAGCCTGGCCAAGATGGTGAAACCCCGTCTCTACCAAAAATACAAAATTAGCCAGGTGCGGTGGCAGGTGTCTGTAATCCCAGCTACTCAGGAGACTGAGGCAGAAGAATTGCTTGAACCCGGGCGGCAGAGGTTGCACTGAGCCAAGACTGTGCCACTGCACTCCAGCCTGGGCAACAGAGTGAGACTCCATCTCAAAAAAAAAATACATATATATATAATATATCATATATAAATATACATGATATATATTATATTATATTGAGTGTATATATATATAATATATATACACTCAACATTGGAACACATAAATGTATAAAGCAAATATTAATAGATCTGAAGGGAAAGATAGAAGCAATACAATAATAGTAGGGGATTTCAACACCCTACTTCCAGCAGTGGACAGATCATCCAGACAGATGATAAGGAAATGTTAGACTTGGACTACACATTAGACTAAATGGACCTAACAGACATATACAGAACATTCCATCCTATAGCAGCAAAATACACACTCCTCTCAAGCACGCATGGGACATTCTTCAGGACAGACAATATGTTAGGCCAAAAAACAAGCTTACCAAATTCAAGAATATTAAAATCATTGAGTATCTTTTCTGAACAAAATGTTTACCAGAAATCAGTAACAAGAGGAAAATTCACAAATGCATTAAAACAAAACTGCACACTCCTGAACAACCCATGCGTCAAAGAAGAAATCAAAAGGGAAATCAAAAACTATCTTCAGGCTCCAGACTGAGAGACACCAGACACAGAGCCAGAACTGAAAATGAAAGAATTAATGAAGGTTCCATACAAAATGGTGGTACCCTCCGCCCAAGTTCTCTTCTCCCACAGAACCTCAGAAAAGCAACAGCCAGAGTTCTACCTCTTCTCCCCAAGCCCAAATCTACCGTCCCAACTAACACACACCCAGGGCAGAACATGGAGCACCTGTCTCTGGAAAAAACTAAACCCAGAACTTCAGATCACCAAATAGTCTCACAGGGAAGCCCACTAGCCAACAAGCCTTACCACCACCACCACCAACACACACACACACACACACACACACACACACACACACACACACCCCTTCCAATCAGCCTTCTGGTGTCTAACTAGCTCTTACAATAGACAGCCTCAGAGACCAAAACAAACAGGTAAAAAAGAAAGAAGCTGAAAAAAATAGACAAAATATAGAGCTGGAAATAACTTCAAATAAATTATAATACCTCACAGAGTTAAGAAAATACACGTATCCGTGAAGCAAGAACAATGGACAATCAGAAATTAAACAGCTCTTGAAAATTAAAAAATATACAGTAGTTGAAATGTTTAAAACTTAGCAGATTTGAAAATCTGGGAGAAATACAGCACTTTGGGAGGCCAAGGCGGGTAGATCACAAGGTCAGGAGATCAAGACCATCCTGGCTAACACAGTGAAACCCCATCTCTACTTAAAAAAAAATACAAAATAATTAGCCGGGCGTGGGGGTGGGCGCCTATAGTCCCAGCTACTCGGGAGGCTGAGGCAGGAGAATGGTGTGAACCTGGGAGGCGGAGCTTGCAGTCAGCCGGGATCGCGCCACTGCGCTCCAGCCTGGGTGACAGAGCGAGACTCTGTCTCAAAAAAAAATAAAGAAAAAAAGAAAATCTGGGAGAAATAAATGATGCTCGATGCTCAATAAACATTCATTAAAGCATTTATGCATACATGAAAAAAATGAATGAATGACTACCAGTTATTTTCATCCCCATTTCTCTCATAAGATTTAATCTTGTATTTTAGTTGCCAGCTAAATATTCTTATCTCTTTGTTTGGCATATCAAATTCCAGGGGCATAAAACGAAAATTTCCAGCAAATGGCATTTCTCAGTTTCTCAAGTGCAGCTCACCTTCTGAAGTCTACATTTCTGATAATAGTACAATCCCTCTCCCAACCCCATATGCTAGAAACCTTGAGATTCTCTGGGACTGTTTCTTTCCCCTTTCCCTCTACTTTCATAAGTCACTGCGTCTTCTCAGATCTTCCGCCACAGCATTTCCCATGCTTTCTTCCTCTTCTCTTACATCTCCATTCTAGTTCTTCCATTTAGTCTCACATAAATTGACACTCAGGCTAATGTAACTGAGCCCTAGCATCATCTCCCTGCTGCAGGCTCAGTTCATTCCAAACCATCCTAATGTGGCTGCTGGACCATCTTCTCCACATGTTGACTGTCACTCTATTGCTCAAAATCCTTTCATTAAACTCCCTAGTACCATTCCTTTAGTCTGCATGACATTTTCTATATCTTTATCCATCGACTCAGTCTGTCCATCAGAAATGCATAGGATGGAAAACTATGTATAAGTTTAAAATGACATTTTCTAAAACTGTTTAATAATAAAGAAATGATTAAGATATAATTGAAATGAAAAAATAAGTCACCTAACTATATGAATAATATACTCCTAATTATGTATGTCTGTGTACAACAAAAACTAGAAAAAGATACACCTGAGAACAGTGTCTGTGTCTGAGTTGTGTCATTATGGATAATTTTGTTTTCTTCTTTATGGTTTTATATACGTTCCAAGTTTTTAAATGAGCTGTTACTATTGGATTTTTAAATTAAATCTATCCATCCTTCAAGGCCAATTGAAACATGACTCCATTCATAAAGCCTCCTTGATCACTCATGTAATCAAATGGAAACATCTCTTTTATCTGATTTATTATTCTTTTTTTTCATTCTTAAGACATTTGTCACAGACTGCCTTATACTATAGTTATTTTTTACAAGTCTTATATCACTTATTATATATGAAGCACTTTGCAGATACATTATGCATCCCCTAAAGGGCCTGGCACAGTGACATGCATAAATAAACCCCTCAATAAATATTTATTAAATGATTTAGAGGATTTTCAGTTTATACAGAGGAGTACCAAACAATTCTCAAGTTGTATTATATCACTAAATCTCTGATATTTATTTCCAACAGCATACAAGTACAGAGTCAGCACCTAGTTTCATTTTATCAAAAAAGCCAAATTTGGATATAGAAACACTGCTTGAAAAGAAGAGAGTTTCTGCTGGGCGTGGTGGCTCACACCTGTAATCTCAGCACTATGGGAGGCCAAGGTGGGCGGATCACGAGGTCAGGAGTTTGATACCAGCCTGGCCAACATGGTGAAACCCTGTCTCTACTAAAAATACAAAAATTAGCTGGGCGTGGTGGTGCACACCTGTAATCCCAGCTACTTGGGAGTCTGAGGCAGGATAATCTCTTGAACCCAGGAGGCAGAGATTGCAGTGAGCTGAGATCACACCACTAATCTCCATCCTGGGCAACAGAGTGAGACTGTCTCAAAAAAAAAATTGAATTTCTTTTAATAATTCAAAAAATTGTGTCTTATTAAGAAATTGGAAAATCTGGAGAGAAAAATATTTTTTAAAGTCTAAACCACCATATGAAGAAAGACTTATTACAATGGGAATCACCTATGTATACAATTGTTTGTTTGTTGTATATTTTCCCACCAGATTATAAGCTCCATGAGAGCAGAGATATTTGCAGCAACAATAACCAAGAATTAGTTTGGTGGCAAGTACAATTTACTAGGGTGTTCAGTAAAATTTACAGCAATCAGCAAAGGGATAAGCTGCCCATCCTACAATGTCTTTGCATAGGCTTACAGATCAGTGCTCAGCACTTTAGTAACAACAGAGTAAACCTTTGTGAGTTCTATATTTCAGCCATGGCTTTTCTTTTTTTCTTTTTTTTTCTTTTCGACAGAGTCTTGCTCTGTCGCCAAGACTGGAGTGCAGTGGCATGATCTCGGCTCACTGCAACCTCCACTCCCAGGTTCAAGCAATTCTTGTGCCTCAGCCTCCTGAGTAGCTAGGATTACAAGTGTGTGCCACCACGTCCAGCTAATTATTTTGTCTTTTTAGTAGAGACCGGGTTTCACCACGTTACCCAGGCTGATCTCTGACTCTTGAGCACAGGTGATCCGCCCACCTCGGCCTCCCAAAGTGCTGGCATTACAGGCGTGAGCCACCATGCCCGGCCAGCCATAGCTTTTCATGAAACATTAGCAAAGGGCATTCCTCATAAGATTAAAAGTAAAAAAAATGAGTCAATTATCACATATATAATGAGAGCACAGAAAACTAGACTTAGTCTAGTACATTTTTGCCTAGGCACCTCCACCTGAAGAGACATAAAAATGCACAACACTCACCCCAAAATCACCAACAAAAGCATCATGTGGTTCCAGAATATGTCTAAGTTTAGAGTTACAGTTAGCATAGCCGTAGGCTAGTCTAAATAACTGTGTGCTATATTTGGATTCCTTGCTGGAATACTTTTCCCTTTTCCAAGAGTATCAATCAGGCATATCACAAGCTATTTAGCTGAGGCCAGACATGGTCTCACCAGGTCCAATATGGGGAAAAGCATACAGGAAAGCTTGCTCGTTAATTGCTTGCCTGGGCTGAGAAAATAGAAAATGTCATTTTCTAGTGGTGTATATTTAGCCACCCTCACCACCAATAAAATCATATCTTTTCTTTTTTCTAAGACCTAAAGGGGTTGGAAGGAGTCAAGCAATATCCAAATAATTAACACCATTTCAAGGTGCTGAAAGTTTCAGAACTGCAGCAGGCACCTTGTGAGTCAGGCTGGGACACTGGGACACTCTTAGAAGCCAATTTGAGACCTGCCAGCTCTACCTTTTCCTCCACAAATGCTGTCACACCTTGCTCCCACCTCACCAAAATTCATCACCCCAAGGTCACAAGAGCTCAAAAAAAAAAAAAAACTGAGACAAAAAAATTAGGTCAGTGCTTTTTGTGATTTAAGAAATCCAGTTTACATCCTGTAAAGAAAAAGAGCTTCTCTCTAGAGCACGACCCGGACAAATTAGGAGACGTTACTCTCTTGTTAAACAGCTCAAATATGAGTACAACTTCAGAAAAATACCACTAGATTTACTCTGAAGCTACTCTATTAAGTATCAGAAAAATTATAAAGTCTTTGCCTCCCATAGGAGATTTAACAAACTATGCACCAACCAAGGAACTATTAGGCTAAGTTGGGCATATTCCTGCGAGTAGTTGAGAGTAACTCAATTCCCTGCCCACACTATTAAGGCACCATGCATGGCTGAGGGTGGTTAATTGACTGCTCCCTGAAAGAGCTGTTTTCTTTACCCAAAGGATGGAGGTCCAATTATATGGGATCCTTAAAACAAATTGGAATCAAATACCAGAAAGTATGCTGCAGAAAGCAGCCTTAAATGACAACCCAGGAAAGAACATGATAGATAAGTGTCCTTTCCAATGACCATACTTTAGATGTTGCTACCCCATCGTTAAGACCTGTATGGCTGTTGTTGTGGATGTACAAGGCCCCAGAATCTAAGAGAGGTTGAAAAACAGGATCACTCAGACTCACTGTTAGTAACCTGGATGGAAAAAGAAATAAATAATGGTACAGGACGAAAATTTGAAAAAAAAAAAAAGAGGCCTAACCAAAATACTGAAGAGTCAAAAGAACCTACTAGGAGAACAAAAAAAGCTTAAAAAAATCATTGGCAAAAAAGCAAGGTAAGCGTATTAATCTACTCTTTAATTTGGCACCACTAAGCAAAAAGTTAATATAAATGTCACCTTATTTCCATTCTAATCTTGTAAGTGTGTTGAAAATAGTGAAAGATAAGAGACGTGGGCATGATTTTTTTTTAACCAGTTTTACTATCATCACTACATGACCAGGCCACTTAAGAGAAATGGGTGATCTGAGGAAAAGATAGTAAGAAACTGTTTATCAACAAAACACTCCTTCTCTATAAATTCTGGATTATATCCCAACAAAAAGAATACGTGGGCTAAAAGAATCATATAACAAATTTGATTGTCTTACTCCATTTGGGCTGCTATAACAAAATACCTTAGACTGAGCAGCTTATAAACAACAGAAATTTATTTCTCACAGTTCTGGAGGCTGGGAAGTCCAAGATCAAGGCACCAGCCAATCCGGTGTCTGGTGAGAACCCATCTCCCCTAGATGGCGCATTCCACCTGTCCTCACAAGGTAGAAGGGGCAAACAGGCTCCCTCAAGCCTCTTTTATTAAGGCGGAGCCCTCATAACCTAATCACCTCCCAAAGGCTCCACCTCTTAATACTCCCTGATTATGAATTTAGGCTTCAACATATGGGGGTGGGGGCAGGGACACATTCAGGCCATAGCATTAACCAAACTCTGCTTGATAAGAGGAATATCAGTATTTTTCTAAAAGAATCAAAATATTTATTCCTACAGTTTCCTCTAAGTGGGATTGGAAGAATTAGAGTATTTGCCATGATCAGATTTAGATTTTTATAGGAGCACTAGAGGTGCTAGGAAGAGAAGAGACTTGAAGGAGGGAGAAGCAGCAAGAGTAGAAGCAGCAGGGAGACTAGTTAGGAAACCAATGCTAAGTTCCAGGAAAAAGATAGGGGTGGCTTAGACCAGTGTACCAGAAATAGAAATGGTCACAAGTGATCAGATTTGGGATTTATTTTGAAGGTAGCACTACCAACAGGATTTTTTTTAATGGAACAGATACATGATGTAAAAGAAGAGAAGAGTCATAATGATCTCAGATTTATCTATTTATTTATTTATTTTTGTCATGTGAAACCAGGTAAAGAGTTTTGCCAGCTATTGAGATGGTAAACAGTGGGTGAAAAGCAGGTTTAGGAGAAAAAATAAATCAACCTGTGTTTTAAATGTTAAATATGAAATGTCTATTAGACATATAAATGAAGATGTTTAAAATAGTGTCTACATAAGGGGAAAAGCAGGGGTTGAAGATACAAATGTGAGTCATCTGCATGTAGATATTTAAAGTCATGAGACTGGACAGATCACATGAAGAGCAAGTTTAGATATGCAGAGAAGAGGCCTCCCAAGCATTTGGCATCACTAAGAGGAGGAGGATACGGCAAAGAGAACTGGGAAGGAGCAGCCACTGAAAGAAAGGAAGAGACAGGGAAAGAAAGAAACCACAAAACTAAGACACTACGATTCTCTGGAAACCAAATGAAGAAAATACTTAAAGAAGTGGGGAAGATTTTCCGTGTTAAATGATGCTGAGGGATTCAGTGTGGTGAATCTGAGCATTGGATTTGACACCTTCCAGGTCATTGGTAACGTTGACAATAAAAAGAATTCTGTGGTAAAATATACAAATCATAAAATTCACAGCTTTAACCATTTTTAAGTGAACAATTTAATGGCATTAAATACATTCACATTGTTGTGCAACAATTACCACCTTCTATCTCCAGAACTTCATCTTCCCAAACTAAAACACTGTATCCATTAAACAATAATTCCATATTCCCTCCCAGACAACCACCATTCTACTTTCTGTCTTTATAAAATTTGACTACTCTAGGTCCCTCATATAAGGGGACTAATACAATATTTGTTGTCTTGTGACTGGCTTATTTCATAATGTCTTCAATTTGAGATGTTTTCACATTCTGTCAAAGTGAACACTGGGCCAGGCATGGTGGCTCACGCCTATAATCCCAGCACTTTGGGAGGCCAAGGTGGGTGGATGACTTGAGGTCAGGAGTTCAAGACCAGCCTGGCCAAATTGGTGAAACCCCGTCTCTACTAAAAATACAAAAAATTAGCCGGGCGTGGTGGCAGGTGCCTGCAGTCTCAGCTACTTGGGAGGCTGAGGCAGGAGAATTGCTTGAACTTGGGAAGCGGAGGTTGCAGGAGCCGAGATCGCGCCATTGCACTCCAGCCTAGGCAAGAAAGTGAGACTCTGTTTCAAAAAAAAAGAAAGAAAGAAAGAAAGAAGAGAAAGAAGGAAAGGAAATTTGAAGAAAGCAAGTTTAGGTGACTTTCAACATTGCATAAATCATCAAGAGCGGCAAGATCAAAACTGGAACCAGGTTCCTGACCCACAATCCTTCCAATTTAAGCCTGAGTGATTTGCTTTCTCTGAAAAACCTGTATATTTTCCCAAGTAGGAAACATTTTAAATTGAAAAAGCTCATTTGATTGTTCTAAAATAAGATAATATTATATGTATACATAAATCTTTTAAATTGAAGCAATAATAAAATTCTCACTTTTGAGCCAAACAAGTACCAAAAATAGTAACTTTCTTTTCACCAAGTTTTCTAACTTCGTGCTTAAAAATAATGTTCATCTTGGCCGGGCGCGGTGGCTCATGCCTGTAATCCCAGCACTTTGGGAGGCCAAGGCGGGTGGATCACGAGGTCAGGAGATCAAGACCATCCTGGCTAACACAGTGAAACCCCGTCTCTACTAAAAATACAAAAAATTAGCCAGGCGTGGTGGCGGGCGCCTGTAGTCCCAGCTACTTGGGAGGCTGAGGCAGGAGAATGGCGTGAACCCGGGAGGCAGAACTTGCAGTGAGCCAAGATCGCGCCACTGCACTCCAGCCTGGGTGACAGAGTGAGACTCCGTCTCAAAAAAAAAAAAAAATATATATATATATATATATATATATTCATCTTATAGACTAATGGAACAGAACAGAGAACCTAGAAATTAATCCATACACCTACAGTGAACTCATTTCAACAAAGGTGCCAAGGACGTACATTGTAGAAAAGAGTCTCTTCAAATAAATGGTGCTAGGATAACTGGATATCCACATGCAGAAGAATGAAACTAGATCCCCATCTCTCTCCATATACAAAAATCAAATCAAAATGGATTAAAGGCTTACATCTAAAACCTCAAACTATGAAACTACTAAAAGAAAGACATTGGAGAAATTATCCAGGACATTGGTCTACAATAGCAAAGATTTCTTGAGTAATACCTAACAAGCACAAGCAAGCCAAGAAAAAATGGACATCAAGTTAAAAAGCTTCTGTGCAGCAAAGGAAATAATTGACAAAGTGAAGGGACAACCCACAGAATGAGAGAAAATGGGTAGTTTGCCAATGACCCATCTGACAAGGGGTTAATAATCAGAATATATAAGGAACTCAAACAATGCTGTAGGAAAAATTTAATAATCCGATTAATAATGGGATTTTAAAAAATCTGAATAGACATTTCTCAAAAGAAGACATACGAATGGTAAACAGGCATATAAAAAGTTGCTCCACATCATTGATTATCAGAGAAATGCAAATCAAAACTATAATGAGATATTATCTCACCCCAATTAAAAAAGCTTGTATCCACAGACAGGCAATAACAAACTCTGGCAATGGTGTGAAGAAAAGGGAACCCTCTTATAATGTTGATGGGAATGTAAATTAGGTAAAACCACTATGGAGAACAGTTTGGAGGTTCCTCAAAAACTAGAATATAATCTACCATATGATCCAGCAATCCCACTGCTAGGTATATACCCAAAAGAAAGGAAATCAGTATATCAGAGATATCCACACTCCCATGTTTATAGCAGCACTATTCACAATAGCCAGGATATGGAAGCACCCCAAGTGTTCATCAACAGATGAATAGATAAAGAAAATGTAGGACATATACATAAGGGAGTACTATTCAGTCATAAAAAAAGAATGAGACCCTGACATTTGTAACAACATGGATGGAACTGGAGGACATTATGTTAAGTGAAATAAGCCAGGCATGAGAAAACAAACATCACATGCTCTCACTTATTTGTGGGAGCTAAAAATTAAAACAATGAACTCATGGAGATAGAGAGTAGAATGATGGTTACCAGAGGCTGGAAGGGTAATGGAGGGAGAAGGCAGGGAAGTGGGGAGGGTTAGTGGTTACAAAAATATAGCTAGGTAGAATGAATAAGATCTAACATTTGCTAGCAAAACAGAGTGACTATAATCAACAATATTGTACATTTTTAAAGAACTAAAAGAGTGTATTTGGAATGATTTTAACACAAAGTAAGGATAAATGCTTGAGGTGATAGGTACCCCATTTACCCTGATGTGATTATTATACATTGTATGCCTATATCAAAGTATCTAATCTACCCTATAAATATATATGCCTACTATGTACCTGTAAAAATAAAAATAAATCAAGAGAAAATCTTCCAAGTGATCACCTAGAAGTGATCTTTCTAAAAAACACTGAACTCTTTAGAAAAAAAATAATGTTAATCTTAACAATCAATATTTGGGCATAAGTTTTGCTTTATTATGTTATTATTAATTAGATATAATTTTTCTAAGACTATTATAAAATAAAAACAGAAAATGCTCCATATTTTTAAATGAAATTTTATTCTGGCCAAAGGATTACTTCAATCTTCTTTTAAAATGAAAAACAAATTCTGGGTTCAAAGAATAATATGTAATTAGATAAACTGAGAATACAAAGGAATAGATTTGTTTCCAAAACACTTATACTCCACCAACGAATGTCATTAAATCTGTATTGTAGGCCAAAGTTACACCATGAAATACCAGTATTTGAAATAATTTTGGACTAAGCATGGGGCTATAGAACTCACTTTAATTTGGGAACAAGTAAATGCCTTTGTAAAAGTCTAAAATTCCTCACCCACTATATATTTGCAGTTTAAAGGAATATGCTTTGAGATCTCCTTAGTGATCATCATAGAATATTTTCTCAAATTACATATGAAATCAGCAAAAAATATAGTACAATTTGTCACAAGGTATGCCAGATCAAGAGGTAGCAGGGAGAGAAATTAAGGGGGAAAGAAAAATATACATATGTTTCAGATACTGTAAGGTTATTCATATATAGGTCAAGAACAACCAAGCCCAAATCACTGTATAGAAACAAAGACAGGGATTCTTAATAGAAACTTAAAGCTCAAACAAATTATTGCTGGTCAAATGTGTTTATTATCTCTTGTATCACAGTTTAATCTCTGGATACTCAATGGTTCATGTAAACAGACTGTTTCAGCTCATTTTACTTTCTCTAGTCTAATGAGGTCCTGGGGTTTAGGGTTTACCATTAGTAAAAGGTTTTTAAAGACAGCACTATCAGATTCAAACCTAATGGGCCCATCATATGTAAGATAGATTTCATCTTAAATATCCCTTCACCACACACCCACATAAACACACAGCTTTACTAATAGTGTATTTGAAAATACTTTCCATCTCAGTGCTGGTGAACATTGAGAGTGGATAACTGGCTACTTTATACATGCACAGCTGTATATATGCCCTTTACACTGAGCGTAATTTGGAGGAAAAAGCATCCTAGACAGATGTCTGCTCCATGGTTTATAAGAGTATGTGATACCATCCGCACTTTTCACAGCTAAACCCTTGAAAACTGGGAGACAGACAAAGGAACCCAAACGTGAAGAGCATTCATTAAAAGATGTAAATAGCCAGGATCCGTGCTGTTTTGTTTCAATCTTCTTTATACTGCTGAAAACAGGAAAGCCTCCTGTCACGCAGACTCCGGGATTCTCAGAGCCCAATAAAGGTTAGTGACATTTTCAATTCATGTTTGTTTTCATTCTTCTAATCATGAACTCTGTGTCAGCCTGAGAAACCAGCTGAGAGTAATCCATAACCTTTTATAAGTGAAACATTAACTCACAGCTCGTTCTGATGTCTTTTTAATGTAATACAAAAGCAAAAGCAAAAACACAATAATATACATGATAGAAACACGGTAGCCAAATGAGAAAGTTTGTTGGAACTTTCACAGCACAGAGTACCACCTAATTTAATGGCCAAATGTTATTTACTAACTAGCCTAGATTGAGAATAAATATAAATACACCAACCAGAGTAACATCCAAATAGATAATCAAGAAGAAATTACTAAAATCTTTCAAGACTGCCATTAATTACCAATGCAGTGTTCATATTAGAATAGGCATGCACCACAGAAAATACTTTTTTCTTAATCCATAATTTGTATTAATGCATCATTCCTTGGAAAGTAGTAGTCTTCACTAAATGGGCGAGTTTCGAAGCTGATCAGAAATATACCGCTGTATCATCTTCCCTAATACCCATACCCACTGTTCTATAAGATGCTCAGCAAAATAGACATTTAGGCTGAAATCTAAATTGTAATACAGAATATGGTTCCTGATTGTTTCGCTGATTTCAATAGTCTGCCAGACTGAAGTTGGGTCTCCAAAACTATCTCCTGAGAGACATCAGTGTAATTTCTCCTGGAGAGTACATTCCTAATCAGATATTTAAGAAACAGGCTTTGCCATCCCAGTTGAGACTCTCTGTATCTGGGTACTAAGTAGCATGATCATCAAAGACTTAAGGACACCAAAGAAGTGTCTAATAAGCAAAATCCAGTTGAATTACACAACGGAGAGGCACTAGACCTGAGCAGTTAACTCTCCAATACGTCAAGAGAGATCAATGTTGACACCAAGAAGTACCAATTTTCTAACCCAGGTAAAGAAAAGACAGTATATGAAAGTAAAAGTAAAAGCTCTTTGGAACAAGGCATGATTTATTCATCAGAGGGAAAGGGGTACCTTGCCAAGAAATACACCAGACCATGAGGAGCCTTCTACAGGGCTGACAGCAAGAAACATGCAGATAACGAAGGTTTCTATTCATCCCTATAGCTTCCAACATACAAAGAAACAAGCATCAGTGGCTGAAAAGATTCCAGTGAATACAACACAACTCAAAGTTTGGAGGAATTAGAAGGAGAAGGGCAGAAATGGGCTAGGGATCCTAGTCTTTATTAACGTTTATTTCATTAGCTCTAATTGCTTCATTATTATAAACATTATTATATTCATATTTGTCTCATCTCAAACTAATTTAATTGGTAGAATTCTGTGTCCTTGCTATTATGTGATACAATTAGCTCTCATTAGTTCACATTTCACTCATTTTCTCCTGACTGATTGCACTACATACTGATGCTCACTAATATCAATATGTAATGTAATCAGTCAGGAGTAAAATGTTGTTACAGTGTCTCCAAATCTATCATACTTATCATTCTGATTGTTTTCAAAGTACCAATATTCTTTCAATAATTTCTGTCTTAATAATGTGAAATTTGGTGTTAATAATACAATTTTTACTATACTTATTGACACAATGGTGAACCATCATTTAAGTAACTAGAGAGAGCAAATGATTAATAAATTTAAAAAGACAAACTGCCATTTCCTCATGTAGCCTTTAAATCACAGAAAGTGAAACACCGATTTTTTTTTGGTTTTCTTCTGAATCATTAGGTTTTCCCCTTCCCCTCCCTAATCTTTTATTTTTCTTCATTGTTATGATCCTTCTATAACCATGTGGAGAGCTTCAGGACAGCAAGAACCTGCAGCTGATGCTGTCTATGGGAGGTGAAGAGGTCCCTTGAATTGTGCTACTGTTAATTTGCCCTTTGAGCATGTACAGCAGGGAGTCTATAAAGACAGAAGCAAAGCATGGAGATTTGTCTATCTGATTAGTACGTCAGAAATGCTAAAGACTAAAAGGGAAGAAAAGGGCAAAAGGCTTTTTGTAATCAATTTTATAAAATCCATTGGGCTTTCAGTGGGGCCCATTTGGAAATGCCCTGCTAGTTTACTCAGATGAAATACACACAGAGACTCTACATTCTCCTCCTGGACTATTTTAGCGCTATTACTTAGAATGTGAATTCGTACATACATTTCTAAATAAAACACTTGCTGTCCCTTTTTCCCTCACCAAGAATTACACCCTGTGGTTCCCACTAAACTACAGATCATTCTGAGAGAAATAATGGCACAACAAACTCGACTATTTTATTCCTCGGAGCAGAGCTTCCCAACAATACATGTATTTAACAGTCTTTTCAGCTGGTCTTGAACAAGATCCTAAGATATAAACACACACACACATACACACACAATACTCAATGCCAGAAAATTTAAAGCAGCAAATGGCTTAATGGTTTTGATTTTTGAAAAGTTCAAAACAAAAATCATTTTAAGTAAATTTTAAAAAGAAGATGAATCGACGTTACTTTTGCCAAAGCTAAATCCTACCTCAAATAATGGCAGAAGACATTTAAATACCAGAGTTGCTATAATAATCCCTGTTTGAATCATGGTTTCCCTGAACTGGGTTAAGCCTTTAGACAGAAACTAATTGCTACAAACACTAATTTTCAAGTCCCTTTTGTTTCCCTTTGCAGGCACCTCTGGACACAGAAGGTACCCAATTAGCAGAATTCACGGTCCTGATTGTGTATTGTGGGGCTAGTGTGTGGGCTGTATAAACACTGTTGATTACCATTCCTCTGTAATGGCTGATTTTTTGATTGCTTAATAAGGCCATCTATTCTGCATCAGGGCCTGGCAAAGCAGTTGGTGAAATCAGTTAGGTCACTTTTTTTTTCTGGTCCGAAGAGCAGGAGGAGTCTGTGATGGTGGCAGTTGACTAAAAACATAATTACAGACTATTTAATCGCATCTGTTTCCCCACTTAACATTGTTTGTTCAAGTTAGACATAGTTAAGTAAATCAAAAGGACAATAACGGCAAAAACACTAAAAAATTACTATTACATGGTTAGAACTCTAGGGTTTGATATAATTACAGAAAACATAGCTTGCAGTGATTTTTTTAAGGTACTAATTTTTATTAGGTTCTATACACACATTTTGCTTGTTTGGTTGTTTTTTTTTAGGATTTTTTAAAGATTTTGTGTTATGTAAATAACTGTTTGTCTGACAGGACTGATTTCATGTGAAGGGTTCTACAGGGATGATATTATTTATGATGATGATTTTTATGTGCTCATCCAATGTTATAATTAGCAGTCAAGTAACTCCTATCCTGTTTTGTGATTAATAACTAATCCCATAAACACACCTTCCACTACATAGAATTGTCTAGATGGAGGAATCCAAGTAAGCATCAGACCCAAGGGCACCGCCATTCACTCTGAGCTGGCCCCATCCTCCCTCTGAGTACCATACCTGTAATTTATCAATAACACAAAACTGCTTGATAATCAAAGGGATAAAAATGAAAGGCACCCAGACAGCCAGAGCTGTCAACAGGCAGGCATCAGGCCCATGTTCCAATGCAACTAAGCCGGCCATTGAATCCAGTAAATACGATGAATCAATATAGGGTCAGATGAAATGAGAGGCAGCTGCTCTTTCAGAAACATACCCTGTTCTCAGTACCACATGTAGCATGTTCATAAGATGACTTACAACCACATCCGGCAGATATTTTACTAAGCGATCTGCAGTACTTGTTTTAGAATAACTGTCTTTTGTAAGCTGATGCAACAGAGAAAGTTGTCTTTTGTAACCTCCAACGAGACTGTTACAATCCAAGGCCTACCAGAGAAGGATTTGTAACTGAGAGCTACCCTCCACTCCTGGAGAGTCTGAAAGGAATCCTTAGGAAAGGAGGGTCATCTCCCTCAAAGTGCAATCGTCTTTATTAAAGATGTTTTTCAGGATAAGGAAACTACATCTCAGTACTGATTTTAAATGAAGCAAGCATGATACACATTATGGATAGAAGTTCTTGAAATATACTACCTGCATGACAAATCCCAAGATATCCATTATGGCAGAATATACAGTTTACATTATTTTTAGTATTTTTGCATGATTTTAACTATTAAATAGCTTTTAAATGTTTTTAATTATGTAAAGGTATCCTGAGGACAACTGGCACAGAGCACAGTTACCATAAATGCAATGAACAAAATCTTTCACTGATTTGCTAGCTTATACAAAGACACAGTGCCATTCCATGGAGCATCGTGTTTGGCAGCTACTCATTATTTGTTTAGTGTTAAAATATGTATTGAGGGCTTACTGCATATCAGGTACTGTGCTAGGTATTGAGGTTAGAAGAGTAGAATGCTGAAGAAGGCATAATCCCTGGCCTCAGGGAGCTTACAGTCTAGTGATGCAGACAGACAAGTACATTAACAGGTAAATCATTGCAATCTGTGATAAGGTCTATGATGGAAACGTATAATGCCCCACAGTGGAATGACCAGGATATTTGATTCAGAGAAGACCTACAAGAAGATTCCTTTTTAGTTGAGACTTCAGTGATAAGGAGGAGCTGGCCATATGAAGACCAGTGTGGATGGTGGAGAAGCAGAGCATTTCAGGCAGACCTATGGCATGTGCACAGGCAGGCCCTGAAGTGGGAAAGACATCAAGTGTTTAAGGAAGTGCCAGAAGTTCTTTGTGACTGTCTCAAAGTTGGTAAGTGGAGACATCACCAGAGGAATAAGGAGAGGTGGGCACAGAAGAACCAAGCAGACCCCAGTAAGTCAAGGTAGGGACTCAATTAAATTCAAAGTCCAGCAGGAAGCTTCAAGTAAGAAAGCACCATGATCTGATTTAGATTTTTGAAAGGTCATTCTTCTATGGGAGAATAGACTAAAAGCAGCAAGATTGAACATGCTGGAATGAGGTAGGAAGCTGTGGTAGTCCAGGCAAGAGGAGATGGTCTCTCAAATCAGGGTGCAGAGTTTGGATATGGAGAAAACTAGGGTATAGATTACGGAGATGGTAAGAAGAAAACACACTGGATAAATATTTTGGAGACAAAATAAAAGGTTTTATGTAGTGTATCTTGTCTCTCAACCAGATTGCAATCTCTCAGAGAGCAGAACCTGTCTTCAGGCTTACATTGGGAAATCTCTGTCCACAGTCAAATGTCAGACATTCACTTGGAACCAGGATTCTTTCCTCCTGGTTCTCACCTGCCTAGCCTTTCCATCACTGGAGCCAGCTGATTTGACCTGAACAAAACTTAATGTCATTATAATGGGAATATTCCAGGGCCTAAGGTACCTCAGCAACAAGCCCAATGAGGAGAGAGAGAGTGTGTGTCTTAGTGGCACAAAAGCCCCAGGAAGGTGGCCAGCAGTCCAACACCTACTGTCATGGGTGCACACACTTGGACCATTACCACTGGCAGCAAAGTACTCTCTGGCAGGCAGTCACTGCCAAGGAAGGTACGCAGGGTCAGGTTAGATTCCAAGTCAGGAGGATTAGGATCCATCATCCTTACATTTCCAATGTATTTCCTGTCCCTATGTTAATTAGAAACTGGAGTAACCTTAAGTAACACACGTTTGGAAGCATGATGGGAAGGCAGGGAATTCATTCAACAAATATTTCTTTTACACCTTCTATGTCCAGGCATTAGTCTAGGTTCAGGGGTACAGCAATGAGTAAAAGTCTCTGCCTTCAATGAGCTTACATCCTTGTAAGGAAGACATATGAAAGCAAAATAAATAACACATTAGATTAGAAAGAAAGGCACACCATGAAGAAAAATAAACCAGGATATTTCCATTTGGCTAGAACATATGATTTATGGTAGAAAAATAGAAGAGAGAAGACTTAAATGAAAGGTTGATGGAAGGCAAGTTTGCTGAGAAGAGAACTAATGAGCTGCAAAAGTACAGAGAACTGGAGGTCATGGTGATGGCAATGAGGAAACTCAGTTGGAGGTGAAGAATAATATAATATTGGAGATAGAGAGGGCCTTAGAGATTCTGAATCAACCCCCTAACTTTACAATAAGGTGAGATATAAAGGCTAGCTACCCAGCGGCTTAGCATCTCTGCCATCTTCCTCTCCTCCTGTTGCTGTGATTCCAGCATCTCATGCCATCCTGCCCCGCAATGGTATGTTCTGGATCTAGACAGAAACTCCAGATTCAAGGTCTTGGAGGCAGAGCAAATCTGCGTGACAGGTGAGGCCCAAGGTGTGATTAACCCTGTGAGCAGCTGAAGTGTAGGGAGGGTAATGAATATCATTAGTTCATTATCTGCTATGTGCTAAGTGCTTTACATACATTGTCTAATTTAACTCTCTCAACAACCTTGTAATGTAGGTATTATCTTCCACAACGAACATCAAAACCCAAGGTTACACGGCTGAAAAGGATTTAAACCTGTGCACATTTAACTCCAAAGCCCCTGTTTTTTCTATTATGCCACACAGTCTCCTAGCACAGGCTCAGTAAGTTTAAAAGGGGGCAGGGTTAAGCAGGAAGGTTAGGGGTGGGGAGGTCAAGAGGCAAATGTCACTGTTTATGTAGTCATGACCTCTTAACTGCAGACAGAGGGTTAGGGGCAATGCTTCAAGAGGTTGGCAGAGTCAATGATATGGATATTAAAGTTCCTGAGGATGATGTCCTCAGCCTAAATTTCTATGTGGAATATGCATGCATGTGTACTTGTGTATGTATGCACACATTTACATGCACATGCAGGTGAGGGAGAACAAAGACCAAGATCAACATAGCGGGAGTTGAAAAGAGGCCTGTGAGCCAGATACTCAAGTTCTCTGTGACTGAGGATATTAAAGTGAATGCTAAAGGGTTTATCATGCTTTGATTTTGAAAGTTATTAAGAAACCCCAGAGATGTGTATGTAAGAAATCCAGTTAAATAACAAATGTTCTGGAATAGGAAAGCAAGAATAAAGCCCATCTGCTACCAAAGACACCAGTAATAGTGTAGCTTTTTATGACTCTCAAGTCAAAGGGTAGGAACTTATTAACAATAACATGAGTGCAGACTCTTTATTCTCCAATATGAGAAGCCACTGACCAGAGTCCCACACAGCAGCCCCCACGGACACACAGGTGGCTCTGGACAATGTCCTCTGGTAATAGATGCCTGGAGGCCCAGAGAGTCTCAGTCCATCTTGATTGTTACTTTCTTTCTGGAGAGTAATGGAGAATGATGACTTTCTCAGTGACTCTCAAAATTATGGTCCCAAGCCCAGCAACATGTCCTATAACTTGTGTAAGGTACATGGATGTGCTTTAGTCAAGGAATAGGCCGAGGCAGATATCCAGGCCTGCTTGACTCAGTGAGTTTGGCACGTAAGCGCACACCTCAACTTGTTATAAAACCTGTTTGTGTAAGTTCATACTTGGCTCTATGCCACTATTGTCTGTAAAAGGTATAACTGTCCTTCTGATGCTGTACAGGGGTTCTTGGGGGCTTGGCTCGACTCAGCTCAATATGGCTTAACATGGTAGGCCTGCTGATGCCCAGAGAGAGAGTGAGCCAGAGCTGTCCATCTTTGCAGACAGACAGAAGGGAGCCAGGACACAGCTCGACTCGCTCATGCACAGAGAGAAAGAGTTAAGCTGCTGACCCTGAAGGCCAGGGGGAGCTGGCCACACAGCTGTGCATGGAGGTGGCCAGCTCAAGCAGCCGAGACAGGGCGGACGGTGAGAAAACTGTTGATGAGACAGCTTCTGGATAAAACTACATTTCACCTCCCTACAGCCCCCTAAGTGTTCTTGCTGCCCATCCACCTACTCCCTCAGACTTCAGCATGGGCTGGACCCAGACCCTGGGATCTGACAATTGGCGATGAGGATGGGATGAAGTGAGTGGGTCTTCAGCCTCCAGGGCTCCCGGGTCAGCTATGTGGCCGCAGCATGGGCTGTGGTACCCAGTGGCAGCCGTGCTGCTTGGATGAGCCCTAGTGGAAACACGGGAGGCAGTGGACATATGCCCCGCAAGTGTGGAGAAGGCGCTGAAGCACCTGGAAGTGCACAGCACTGAGAAGCAGCATGCCTTTACCAGCAGAGTCAGGGGGGCATTTGTGACTGTGCTGTGGGAACTGCATGCCCAGTCCCTGCAGGATGCAGCGCAGGGAGGAGGAAGAACCTTCATTGCAGGCCCGCCCAGTGATCCACCAGAAAATAGAGCATGAGCAGCTGTTGGGCCCCAAGGGTGGGCCCAGAGACCCCCCGTCATGGTGGAATACATTTCCTATGGTGCCTGTGCCCCCGTTAAGCAAATGATGTCTGCAGTCATGTAAAGATTTAGTCCAAGTCATTCAGGAGGAGGACACTGCTGTGCTGCCCGGTCCCGCCGGACCATTCCAGTTCAAAGAGTACCTGCTGCAGTTGGTGGAAGTGCAAAGCCTTTTCTGTTTGATAAGAAACTGGCCAAGATACCCGGCTTATGGGGAGCACTGGATGACCACAGCCACCTGTGGACTTGGCAATCCACTGGTTCCTGCACCCGGGTAAGTTTCCGGGCAGAGCTGCATTTATTGACGGCTATGAAGACCGGTCAGTGAAAGTGAAACTGCATCTTGGCATCTTGGCATTGGCCACTGAGCTCTCCACTTATGCACTGTGTATGTCTCTCCCATGCCTAAGGACATTCTGGGGGTGGATGTTTTGCACGGCTTGGCAGCTGTGCCGTCACAGACTTCATGGACCCCTGGACAATGGAACCGGGACAGTCCACTGAGAGCCAGAAAGAGTTTGCCTTCGTGGGAAGATGACAACGGGCTTTCTCAGTGTTGCTGCAGGGCTTGCATAGCCCCATCATATATCATGGTTTTGTTGATGATATTATATTAACCTCTGATTTGCTTGCAGGTTTAGAAGAGGCAGCACCCCTCTTGCCTGGGATTGGGATAATGCAGCTGAGACGGCCTTCCTGGTAGCCAAGCAGGCTATTCAGCAGGTACAGATCCTATGAGTAGTCAACCAGAGGTGCCCATTTAAGCTAGATGTGCATACGACCACAGATAATTACAGTTAAGGCCTATAGCAGTGCACAGAGTGCCTGAGTATGCTAGTAGGCTTTTGGTCCCAACTATGGAAGGGAGTTGAGGTCCAGTGTCCATTAACAGAGAAGCAGTTAGTAATAGCGGGATGGGTGCATTCATGGATAACCACCCCCAAGACTGGGAAAGCAGTTAGTAACTGCATATGCTGCCCTTCAGGCTCATAAAAGCATGTCAGGATGGTTACAGTCATTGTGCAGACAACTTACCCGGTAGCAGGATGGGTGTGTTCGTGGGTAACAACCCCCAGAGTGCAGACATCCACTTTAGTGAAGTGGGGCACCTACTTAGAACAGTGAAGTACACTGAGTACAAGTCCCTGAGCAGATTTACAAGAGGTTTTGGGGCCTGCAGTCCTAATGCAAGATAAGGCCATGGGACCTGAAGCACCCCTAGATCCTGAGCCTCCACTGTTAGGAAGGGCAGCCCCCATTCCTAACAGGGCATAATATACAGATAGGTCTAGCTGGGGTGCTACTGCTGCCTGGACTGTTGTCGCAGTCCAGCCTTGTATTGACGCCATACAGTTTGAAACCAGGTGTAAACAGAGTAGCTAATGAGCTAAACTCAGGACAGTGTGAATAATAATCACCAAAAGGGTGACACCTGTGGTAATCTGCGCCGATAGCTGGGCAGTTTATCGAGGCTTATGTATACCAGGCCTGCATGCCCAAAGCGTATGTGTCAAACCTGTGTATCCAAAACCTATGTCTCCCTCGGCCTGGGGGCTAGAGTATTAGGTACACGGATGTGCCTTGGTCAAGGAATAGGCTGAGGCAGATATCCAGGCCTGCATGATTCAGTGAGTTTGGCACGTAAGCACACACCTCCACTTGGTATATAACCTGTTTGTGTAAGTTCATATTTGACCCTACGCAACTATTATCTGTAAAAGGTGTAACTGTCCTGCTGACGCTGTACAGGGACTCTTGGTGGCTTGGCTCGACTTGGCTCAACATGGCTTAACATGGCAGGCACGCTGGCACCCAGAGAGAGAGAGAGAGTGCCAGAGCTGTCTGTCTTTGCAGACAGACAGGAGGGAGCCAGGATATAGCTCAGCTTGCTCATGCCCAGAGAGAGAAAGGGTTAAGCTGCTGACCCTGAAGGCAAGGGAGAGTCAGCCTGTGTGTGGGGGTGGCCAGCTCAAGCAGCCGAGACAGGGCGGACAGTGAGAAAACTATGGATGAGAAAGCTGCTGAATAAAACTACATTTCACCTGCCTACGGGCCCCCAAGTGTTCTTTCTGCCCATCCACCCATTCCTTCGGACTTCAGCATGGGCTGGACCCGGACCCTGGGATCTGACAACTTGTTAAGAATGCAAATCCCGAGGCCCATCCTAGACCTACTGAATCTGAAGCTCTGTGAGACCCAGCAATCTGCCACTTAACAAGCCTCCAGGTGAATCTGATGCCTCCTGAAGTTTAAGAATCACCCCCAAAACATCTCCCAGGAACAAGAGACAGTCTGCAGGCAGGAGAGCTACTGAGTCAGCAATCAGGAGTTACTTAGGGAAACAAGAAACCCCTATGTAAGCGTCCTGTTTTCAACAATTAAATCAAGGTTATAGAGATTACAAAAGGTATTTAATTTTATTAGACTCAGTTTTCAAGCAAAAAGAAAGCTAAAATCATTAACTGCCCACCTTACTCCCCCAAGAATGGCCATTATCAAAAAAAATTGAAAAATAATAGATGTTATCAGGGATGTGGTGAAAAGAGAACACTTCTACACTGCTGGTGGGGATGTAAACTAGTACAACTATGGAAAACAGTGTGGAGATTCCTTAAAGAACTAAAAGTAGAACTACTGTTTGATCCAGCAATCCCACTACTGGATATCTACCCAGAGGAAAGAAGTCATTATACGAAAAGGATATTTGCACATGCATGTTTATAGCAGCACAATTCGCAATTGAGAAAATGTGAAACCAGCCCAAATGCCCATCAATCAATGAGTGGATAAAGAAATTAGGATATATATATAGATATAGATATATCTATCTATATATATATATGGATATAGATATATCTATCTATATATATATATGATGGAATATATATATATGATGGAATATATATATATATATGATGGAATATATATATATATATGATGGAATATATATATATGATGGAATATATATATATGATGGAATACTGCTCAGGCATAGAAAGGAATGAATTAATGGCATTCGCAGCAACCTGGATGGGATTGGAGACCATTATTCTAAGTGAAGTAACTCAGGAATGGAAAACCAAATATCATATGTTCTCACTCATAAGTGGGAGCTAAGCTATGGGTTGCAAAGGCATAAGAATGATTCGATGAACTTTGGGAACTCAGTTGGTGTGGAAAGGGTGGGAAGGGGGTGAGGGATAAAAGACTACAAATTGGGTTCAATGTATACTGCTTGGATGATGGGTGCACCAAAATCTCACAAATTACCACTAAAGAACTTACATAACCAAATACCACCTGTTCCCCAAAAACCTATGGAAATAAAAACTTAAAAAAAATTAAATTAAAAAAAATCCTTAACCACATAGTGATCCCGCAAGCGAGTCTTCCAGTCACCTTCAGCAAGAGGCAGCACCAGCAGCTAGGAGAGCATGCTGGAGAGTGGAGGGAGAAGGGCCTGCTAGGTAGCAAAATGGTGATAAGAGACATCAAAATATACAGAGAAAGGAGGAAAGAAGCTAGAATTCTCCTAATGATGACTTGAGCCCTGCCACTCAATGGGAGAATCAGCAGAACCTGTAGGATCTTATTTGGAATTGACATTCTCTATTATAATTTTGTTCCTGTTTATTTTTAAATTTTCTTTTTGTTTCACTGGAAAGGAAATGTACAAGTTGCTTTGTTACAATAAAACTAAATGTGTACACACACACACACACACACACACACACACACACACAAAGAGACATCAAAATAAAACACAGCTGAGCAACTGAATGGCCACTGAATAGCAATCGTCCTTTCACCTCAATTACTCCAGAGGGCAACTGTGGATTCCATGCAATCATGGCAAAATAACTGATGCTCATACTAACGACACTACTTCCTCAAAGAAAAGCTACGTTCAGCATACTCTTTAAGAAGACCAGTTTCATTAAAAACGTTAAAGGGACGCTTTAAGGGGTAAACTTTAGCTATCCAGAAAGCTGATATAAAACATTTAAAACGTGTTTCTCAACAATACCAGATAAACGAAGTCTTTTGTAATTTTTTGTTTAAATCCTAGGGAAAAAAGTGACAATGAAAATAATTGGGAAGGAATTTGAGGTCTGGCAACTAGTGTGACTCTAACACCAACAAACTGTGCGACAAGGGGCAAATTACTAAGCACTTGGACTGTAATTTCTCTGGATAGATCGTTCATTTCTTGAAGGAGGGAGTCTAGGTAACCTCTCACATCCCACATTGCTTTAAAACTCTTAATCTATCGTATAAGTCTATACTTTAGTCTCACCCCAGGCCCAGAAATTTCTTCCGTTGAAACTATCTCACCTGAGAATCTACAAATTCCCTCAGGAAGCTGTTCTTCCCATACTCTCTGCCCCCAGAAGTTAGAGAATTTAACAGTTCACCTTAAGTGGTTACAATTCTGAAATTCAATATTCTTGGAAAAGGGATGTCATACTACATTGTACTTTTTTCCAAGAAATTGTTTAATCTATATAAGTTATTTGACTCGGTCATTAGCAATCTTTGTGCCAAGATAGCTCCTAATCAAATTCTGGCAGAATATAAGTACCATTGAGAAGAAAGCATACAGATCTTTCTTTTGAGAAGTACGTATTTTTCTTTCTGGTTGAGCAATGTTATGCAACAAATGCTTCCAACTGGCTTTCTATCAAGGAAAATCATTAAAGATGAAATGCTCTAAGGGACATGATCATAGAAGCCTGAGATGCTTGTAAGTAATTACATTCATGCTGATAATTAGAAGAAATAGTCTGTGTAGTGGATATAGTACAATCACCTTTCACCACTGGTCTTGGATTTGATTTCTCCAAGGAATGCCAAGAAAAGCCTTTATTTAGCTGCAGTTTATGCTTCCCTCAATCCACTTATTTTGTCATGTAAAAAAGGAGAATCTGAAAAAAGAGAATGGGCACCTTGACATTTTAACTGCTTTGTTTTTAATGAAAATTTGCTTCTTTGAAGTGAATATAAAGCAGGTATGGGCAACAAGTCAGGAAGTGCTTATTTATCACCGAATAGCCTCACATGTCCTCAAATGCCTTAACCCAGCCTTTAAAATATCCTCATTAGATTTCCCTGCTAGCTTGTATGCCATGCTTATACAAAGCAAAGCATTTCTTAACAGACACACAACAGCGCGTGCACACGTGCGCGCGCGCACACACACACACACACATATACACTGTGCCCACAACCTTGGCAACAGGTCCCAATGCTCAGAACTTAAGAAGAAAATCTGCCTCCAAAGCCATCACTAGGTCAATGTACATACACGGATAGAACAATTTATCAGAATTGGTGTTTCTCCCCCACGAGCACATTGACTGTGGTGAGCTTGGAATAAAATTGACAGTAATTCTCTTTTTTATTTTATAGTGAATCTGTTGCCTGTAATCACTGTGGACGAAAATTTGTTATAATTTCACTTCTTAATCAAATGGATGCTCAAAGAGCAGAGAGGGCACTAAAGCAAAGAGATACTTCTAGGTCCTTAGCCTGTCTAAAATGGTTAATACCGTTGCTCTCCCCCTGCTCTTGAAACTCTATTTTGGATTTCCAGTGGCTGTGTTTTCTAGTTCTCGTTTCTCTCTTCCGCTTCACTGTCTCCCATTGCTTGCCCCTTAAGCACACAAGTTCCTCCAGGGTTTTCTACCCAGCCCTTTTCTTTCTCATCCTATACTCTCTCCACAGGAAGAGGCGGCATCTTTCGCTAAAATCAAAAACATCTGGATGCGAATCCCAGTTTTACCGTCCACCTGTTATGTAATCCCAGGCCTCAGTTTCCACTCAAACCTTCCCTCACGAGGTCCCCATGAGGATCAAGTGAGAGTTCAGATATCTAAGCACTGAACAGAAAGCCCGATCATAGGCAGGTTGTGTGGGGGAGGAAATATCCTTTCTTCCCACTTAGGTTCATGGCTGAGGCCCCTATGACAAAAGACAGATTAACAAGAGAAAAGCAAATACATGTATTTAAGGTAAGTTTTACGTAACACAGGAGCCTTCAGAACTGTAGTCCCGGGCTGGGTGCGGTGGCTTACGCCTTTAATCCCAGCACTTTGGGAGGCTGAGGCAGGCGGATCATGAGGACAGGAGTTCAAGACCACCCTGGCCAACATGGTGAAACTCCCGTCTCTACTAAAAACACAAAAATTAGCCGGGCGTGGTGGCACGTGCCTGTAATCCCAGCTACTCAGGAGGCTGGGGCAGGAGAATTGCTTGAACCTGGGAGGCAGAGGCTGCAGTGAGCCTAGCCTGCACCATTGCACTCCAGCCTGTGCGACAGAGCAAGACTCTGTCTCAAAAAAAAAAAAAAAAAAGCCCCAAAGAAAGTATATTTTTGTATTTTTTATGGTAGGCTTGATGAAGCGGTGGACAGCCATGGAGAAGTGTGATTGGACAAAGGATGCATGAGCCAAAAGTAGTAAACTCAGGGGGGACTTGGCAAGGCCTGTTTGCTTAGATTCCTTTGGGCATCTCTGCGTTTTCCACTCCCTTCCTCCAGGTATAGGGCAGGCACTTCTCAGATGAAGATCTCATGGCCTGCTGCAGGGAAGAAGAGTGAGAAGAAGGCAAGAAGGGGCTTTCTGCTTCTGCTGTCTTCTCAAATGCTAATGTGTCATATTTGGGGACCACAGGTCCTCAGCCCCATCTAGGTACTCAATGAATTTATGTTCCTCCTCTATTTCTTCTTCCTCAGGCAAATGCTTCCTCTCCCACAGCTATGAAATAATCCATGGACAATTCTTCAATAGATGAGTGTTCCCTATATGTAGATGATGACCAAATCTATGCACACAGTTCATATCCCCGTATCTATCAGCCAGCTGATGCTGGGCCCACAGGAACCTAAAACTTAGCACATCCAATTAATTGTTATCACTTCACATACCCCTGTTGAATTTAAATGTGTGCCCCCAAATACTTCATATGCTGAAGTTTTAACCCCCAGCATCTCAGAATGTGGCCTTATTTTGAAACAGGTTGTTGCAAATCTAACTAGTTAAGATGAGATCACACAGGATAGAGTGAACCCCTAATCCAGTATGACTGGTGTGCTTATAAAAAGGAAAAATTTGTACACAGACACACATGCAGGGGAACACCATGTGAAGCTTAGAGTTATGCTACCACAAGCCAAGGAACTTCCAGAGGCTAGGAGTCAGGCCTAGAACAGAACCTTCCTTAGTGCCCTTGGAAGGAGCCAACTATGTTGACACTTTTGTCATGGACTTATAGCCTCCAGAACCCCCTGACGCCAATTTGTGGTACTTCGTTATGGCAGCCTAACACACCCACCCTGAGCTGCACTGCACAGCTCTGGAAGTTGAAGTTCCCCACTTCACTATGAACCACCAGGTCATCTCCCCGGCCACCTGAGCTTGGGTCACCTTTGATTTGCACTTTTCCCTCCACCATCTCATCTGTCTTGCACTAAATCCTTTCAACTCTGCTCAGGAAATAACTGTCTTTTTCCCTTCCTGCAGACATGGACAGAGTCTGCCTCATCATCTCTCATCAGGTGACAACATAATTGGTTTTCTGACCTCACTGTACTTAGTCCACTTTAATCCTGCTTCCACACTGCCACCAGAGTCACTTTTTGAAATCACCGATCACAGATTGTAATGGTCCTTACGATTTAACCCCAATCTATCTTTTGGTTCCATCTTACAATGTTCTCTTTCAACCTCTCCTCTCACCCTAGAGTCCCTGCTAAAACATCACACTGCATGTCCAGACACCTCTGGGCAACTCTACCACCCCTAAATCTCCAGCCCTCTGTGTCTTTGCTGGTGCTTTTTATCTGGTTGGAACACCCAGCATCTTTCAAGTCAAAATATTACTCATTTCTATTAAGGATAGAGATAAGGTAAGAAGAAAACACTGGGTATTCGTGAGAATCAATCCGTGAGTAACAGAAGAAAAAGGTGGTTGAGAGGTTTTCATTTTGATTGTAAGTATTACAGAGTGTCTTTCAAACACCTAAATCTCAACTATGTCTGGGAGATCGTCCTGGTATATAACACTTTATAAATTAGCCAACTATGATAGTTTATCGTAGTTCATACTTGAATGGCACCATCAAGGTTGAAACACTGAGTATAAGATATCTCTCTGCTCATTCAATGACAAAATCAGGTAAGAAAAATTCTAGCATGGCTAGAACTTAACAACTGCCTAAAGTGAAATATGCCTTCTTGTTAGCAGGGCAGCAGCGTATTTGCCTAATTACATTACAGGAAGTTACATTCTAATCCAAGATTGTTTCATTAACATTAAAAATATAATATTCCTCTTATAAATTGTCCAGGTCCCATGCCCAGGAGGCATTCCATTTTTAGGTATTATCCTCATGTTTCTGATTTTCCCCAAACTCTACCAATTACAAGGTGTTTCACACACCCTTCTTGAGGAACATCTTAAAGAAGTTGTTTCCCAAAACCTCTTTTACTCTTGTCAGTCCCTTCATTGCTCTCTCAAGCTTAATAAAAAATACACAAGTTGCTAAATCTAAAATCTAGACTATTTTACCAACTTAAGTTCCCATTTATGCTGTAGAACCCGGCTGCACTTCTCCCTAACACTTGACCAACTCCATGTCATGGATTCAAGTTATGTTATCTCTGGGGTCCTTGAAAAAACCCAACACATATATACTTTACATGAACACACAAAAAGGATTTGTCACTCGCATTCTACAAGCAGCTTTACTGAACTCCAGACTCAACCCCAAAGCCTCCAAATTGAAATCCAATCACTTTCCCACTGCAGGAAAGGAAACCATTGATATTGTCTTGCTCTTCACTAACCCCTCTCCCAGACATGCGCACTGTGTGTGGCCTGTGCCCACCCACTTCTGTATCCTCCGAGTCCCTGCATGATTCAACACCAGTAATTCCCTTTCGCCACTCTCAGGGGGTGGGGGAGAGGGGAGGACTGAAGAAAAACTATTTTCAAAAGTAATTTTTCAAAGTGGCACAGTCAAAGTGGCAAAAGGTAACTATTTATCATAATCATGGTAATAAAGAGCATTATTACACTGTTGACCTTTGAGGTTGGAAGAGAAGCTTTCAGCCTATAAACATGAACTAATGAATGATGAATTTTAAAAACACGTGCTCTTCTCATTCTCCCATCCCCTGGACCCCAGGCCAGTGCTCATTTTCCTCTTATTGGTTAAAGTTCAAGTGGGGGTAGCATTGTAAGCTTAAATTTGGTGCAAAATAAAACAGACATTCTATTAATTGCAAAATTAAAAGCTCTTCATGGAAGGGGTCCACCATTTTCACGGCTGACACCGCCCTCACTCCCCACACTGCAGAGCCTGCTTGTAGGATTATACATGTTCTTCCTTGTCTTTCTTCACTGCTAGAGTCATGAAGTTAGGAGGAATACTTTTTTCCTTCTTTTTTTGTAAATCCCATTGTTTAAATTATTTTTGGCACATAATAATTGTTCATGTTCATAGGGTACAGAATGATATTGTGATAGATACACATATACAATCTATAATGATCGAATCAGGGTAATTAGCATACCCATCACAGGAGGAATACTTTTGTTGTTTTTAATCCAATTTTTGCTCCTTCTGTAGGAATACTTTTTAATTCAATGAATTTCAATAATTTCATTTTTTAACTCAACTCAGGTTTATTTCCTTTTGACGAACTATTTTTCCACTGGTATTTTAAAAAATCAGTTAAAAATTTTTCTGTTTTCAATACAGCTTCTCTCTGAATTTTTAAACAGCCCCTGGTTGCCAAATTGTAAAATCCTAGTTTGTTTACATATAGGCCTTCACAGAGCCACCAAGAGAAGCAAACCTAAAGTGTACTTCCACCTCACCATGAGGCAGTCTCAAACACTTCCTACCTTCATACTATACACAAACACAGGTGTACCCACATGCATATACATGCATGCATCTTACTGGCATATTTGGATGCCTCAAAGTTTTCGAAGAAATTTGGTCAGGGCTCCAAATTGTGCTAGATTTCACACCAACACATAATTTACTATTGTTGAAGATAGAAATCCAAATATAAATTTTTTTAATTGCCAGGATTTGAACATATGCTTACCTTAGACCTCTTATTACCTCAATAGACCTCTGTTGATCTGTAAAGTTATTTTCTCTTTTTTCCATTTCTCTTTCTACCTGCTGATGGGTGCAAATTAAATACAAGTACTATATTTTAAAAGACAACCATGCCATCATACTTGAAGCACTCTGAAATGGTTTATTGCTTTTACTTTAACCTTTCATTCAAATTTACTTTCTCCAGTATAGGGCGACATGGTTCTTTATTTATTTCTGCCCTAGACTGCAAGGACCTAAATTGCAAGAATTAGTTATAAGAGGGCATTTAACAATACTGAAGTTTGCTTTTATACCACACTCTACATCAAAGCACCAACCTTCAAGGGCCAGCTATATTCCTGTTATATAAGTTTATGAATTGCTCTACATTTTGTTATATCTTCAGCTTTAAATTCAACAATTTCCTCATATAAAAACACTGAGTGGTCTGTGAAAGATGTTGAAACATTCAGGGTATGATTCTTCATTGCAGAGCATGAAACTTGTCTATGCCTTGGGCTTATTAATATTTCATCTTCCTGTAAGAAATGAGGTTTGCTTTCTTTCCATAAAATAAATGAAATGGACCCATATGAGCACCATGTGATACTATTATCTCTGAAAGGGAGACAAATGGAAAAGGATAAACTTTTTCATGTAAAACTTTTAAACCAAGAGTTTAAAATGAGACCACTGAAAAATAATGCGGTATGTATTACTATCTCCATTTACATGAGGACACTAAAGCTCAGAGATGGGACCACAGCTACATAATTTACAGGGCCCAGTACAAAATGAAAACGCAGGGCCTCTTGTTCAAAAATTACCAAGAATGTCAAAACGACAGCAACAGAGTATTAAACAAAGCTCAGGGACGTGTGTGACTGCACAGATTGCGCACATATGAAGACACACCAACTCAGACATTAAATAACTTCTGTAAGATCAAGAGCTAAAAAGTTACTGGAGTGTGAACCATGTAGGTTTGATTTCAAAATTTAGAACTCTCTCATCCTCCAACAATAAACATCATTTCTTGAATCAAGCCAAACATAAAGGTTATCTCAAGATAACCCAGCCAATAGTCTAATTACATCATCATTGATCCCCATTTTGCAGATGAGGAAACTGACTTACAAAGGTTGAGTAACTTGTCTACTGAACTAGACGGTTGCTATCTTTTGACTATCCAGCATCCACAACTCCTTCCTAATAGCACATCAATTCCCTTTTGAAGAATTACTTTAGCAGAACACAAGCGCCCTAAGGGCAGGATGTTTTCCTGTTCTCACCTATATCCTCAGTGCTCATAACACAGGTATATAGTAGATTATAAGTATTTGCTGACTGAGGTGTGTGTACTGTTTTCCCACCACAGCAAGGGGCCTACAGCCTCACGTGCTCTCTCCCTCAGAGGTTCCCTCCCGTCACCTGTGCAGCAAGAGAGGGAGGGCAGCACCTGCCCTAAGCTAGCACTCTCCAGAACTTTGATTCTTGAGTCCCACACAGAAAAGTTAGCGCCTGATCATTTCAATAGTCTTGACCTGACAAGAAATATAATGGACCATGCTTTTGTATAGGTTCTGTCTTGATTCCAAGCCTCACTCTCTAGCCTTCTCATTACATGTATGAGCTACTCACTACAATGTATACACATACATATGCAGATGTCAGGGTTCCCAAGCCCACCCTCAGGTTTGATGATTTACTAGAAGGACTCACAGAACTCTGAAAAACTGTTATGTATACTGATGGTTATGGTTTATTACAGCAAAAGGATAAAGATCAGAATTAGCAAAGAAGCCAGGTGCAGTGGCTCACACCTGTAATTCCAGCACTTTGGGAGGCTGAGACGGGAGAAATGCTTGAAGCCGGGAGTTCAAGACCAGCCTGGGCAACAAAACAAGACTTTGTCTCTACCAAAAAAAAAAAAAAGTTTTAAATCAGGCATGGTGGCACCTGTAGTCCCGGTTACTTGGGAGGCTGTGGCAGGAGAATAGCCTGAGCCCAGGAGTTCAAGGCTGCAGTGGGCTGTGACTGTGCCACTGCACTCCACCCTGGGCAACGGAGTGAGACACTATTTCTTTAAAAATAAATTAATTAATTAAAAGTAAAATAAAATCAGCAAAGGTAAAAGACTCCTAGGGTGGAGTCGAAGAGGAACTAGGAACAAGTCTCTAGTTGTCTCTCTGAGCAGAGTTGCATGGACAGCACTTAACTCTCCCATCAGTGATGTGAGGCAACACAAGAGAAGCATTGCCAACCATGGAAGTTCACCTAATTTTTGGCATCTAGGGTGTGTCTATTGCCAGCCGCTCAGATAGCTAGGCAGCACCTGTGTGACCACTACTTCGCTACCCAGTGTCCAGCCCCCAGAGATCACACCGGTACAACATGACACAAGGCCTCAGGAGTACAAAAACACTCGTCTCAAGCAGGATGTTCCAAGGGCTCAGAGGCTGTCTCCCAGGAACCTGTCAAGGGCCAGTCCTCCTAAAGACAGGCCTTTCTTTGGAATGTTCAGGGCTTGAGCAATCTGCACCTGCTGGGTTAACCCTTGACTGCACAAAATCCAATAAAGATCCTGGCTTTAATTAGCTAGAATTGATTTCTGTTGTTTGCAGCCAAAAACCTGTGCAATCAAATGGCTAATAACTATAGAAGCAGAAAGTTCAGGTCTTCCTGATTCTAAAATCTATGTCACGAAAAATTGGTTGTTATGAAACATCATTTAGCAAAGGAATTTATCAAGTGGAAGAAGACTAATGGGCCACAGAAGTTAAGGCAAGACTCAGCAGTTGTCTCAGAACCCATCCTAAGGAAATAGTGAATAAATACACAAACATGGGTTTTAGTATTTATATATACAAATATATTTATCGCCATATTATTTTTATGGTACAATATAAGAATCAATTTACACACTCAACACATATGATTGGTTAAATCAGAAGCCGATAAACTTTTTCTGTAAATGGGCAATATAGTAACATAGCTGCACAGCTTTCAGCTTTCAAGGCGATACAGCATTGCAGCTTCTCAGCTTGCCCACTGTAACGCTAAGGCAGCCACAGACAATAAACAAACGAGTGTGGTTGTGTTCCAATAAAACTTTATCTACATGAACAAGTGAGGATGTGGCCTGCAAGCTATAGTTTGCCAACACTTGGTTTAAATTATAATAAGTATTATTATACACAGCAGAATATTTCATTTTTAAAAATTAAGTACATCTATACATGCAGATATAAAAAAAGTAGGTCTACATGTACAGATGTGAAAAGATGCCTATTGACATATAACTAAGCAAACAAAACCATACATATATTGTTGAGAAAAAAGAGATTTGTATATGCACAGGGAAAAATGTAGAAATAAGACTGTTCATAGAGATTATCTCTGGAAAGCTGAAATTATGTGAAACTTTTACTTGCTATTTCATACATTTCTGTCCTGTTTGAAGTTTTTATTATAAACATATATATTTACAATCAGACAGAAAATTCTATTTCTTAAAAAAAATTAAGGCTGCAGCCAAGACATATACTTAATCACCTACTAAATTATTCAAGTTTCTAGTAAATTAGAAATCCTGAATCCAGGATGACTTCTGTTTGAGGTAGCAGCTCTTCCAGCCCAGGCATGAATGCCATCACTCCTGAAAGTTCCTTCCAAGCCATGGTTCTAGAGAATTTTTCAAAATCCTATTTATTTTTTCTCTTCCCATCACAATGACTATCCTACTAATAATCTTCCCTCAAAGGAATATATTTTTAACCACCTAAAAAATATATGAGCCCTGATAGAAGAAGTGTTATATTGTGAGTGTGGAGTAATAATCTTTATATACAGCTCTGTCACACTACAAATTCTTGGAATTCCAGTTGTTTTCACATTTCATTTCGAAAATATTACATAAACTCATGAAACCACCTTGTTAGAATTTACAGACAAGCAGCACTAAGACACCCAGAGCCCTTAGAAGTTAAAAATATAACACCTTCTTGAATTGAATTTATATGCTGCATAAATGTAATTTATATGCCACAATACAGAAAATATCCAATGCTAAGTTTCTTGGGATATACAAAAATAGATACAAACACACATAATCTATTTCTTTCTTTTAGTACCACTTTTTTCTTTTTTTTTTTGTTTTTGCATTTTGGATGACTGCTAAGTTTCCTGATATTTACAGAGAAGAATAAAGTCAAAAAGACAAGAACCCAAGCCTTCCACAGACCTTGTTTATTTTCAAGGGATCATTTTGCACCAGTAGCTGTCTTTCATAAAGAAAGACCACTGCTCATAGAGGGTTGGGTTTTCTCTCTCAATCACAGTGTCATGTAATTTCAGACTAATAAACCATGCTCTAGCATTACGTGTATCAGATATTCCTCAGGAAACAAGGATGGTCATATCTTTAAGTGCTTTTTTTTTAAGATTGTTCCGAACTTTCTTACGTGTTCATCAAAAGATGACAGCTTAGTATCTGTTATTAACATAAGAAAACTGATTTGTAGATAGTTTCCTCAGATCCAATCAAAGGAAGCCTCCCTTTCTGTTAATTGGATAATTAATGGCATTTTTAAAACCAGCACTGATCCAAGTACCTTTTATGTTCATTGGCAGATTGATTATCCATGAAGAAGTTCTCTGTTATCTTTATTATCCATTTGGATGGGAAGGAAGGCCTTGGGGAAGGGACAAAAGGATTAGCTTTGTTTACTCCCCACTCTACCCTTTCAACATTCAGCCTCCTTTGTGAGTTGGCTGTGATTTGAGTCTTAGAAAGGATGAATCTTGACAAAAATGTTTAATAGAATTAAAATCTATTTCAGGCATCAAAAGTAGAGTTTTATGTCTGTGCATTCACGGTTTCTTGGGGGAAGGGGCATAAAACTCTTGCCTATATTTATCTGCCAAGCCTTTTTCTATATCCCTGTCTCCCTCCCCGCCACGCACCTCCATCTCTCTCATATTTCTATGACTAAAACACAAAACCATGGGCTGGTTACTGCAACAGTATCATTTATTTGTGTTCTTCAAGCAGCCTGCAACACAGCCAGAAGATAATGGACACCTCATTTATTCAAGCTCTGAATGATCATATTTAATTCCCTGTGACAGCTGTCTTCCCCACATTAGCATTGCAAATATGTTCGGTTTTGTAATGGCCTTCTATTGAACATGATTCAATTATGTGTGGTCCGTATCGAGGCAGGATGCGGCCTTAGTATCTATAGCAATATTTCTGCAAGCTGCTGCTCTTTACACTGCTCACATTTAAGCTGGCTGTTTACCACAATGCTTTCCTTGAACTATGTTGAACTCCATACACTTTCAAATAAAATAAAGAGGAATGAATGTAATTTGAAAAAGCAGTTACTGGGTGTATAGATATTATATACCTCCTCCCCTTTACATATATAATCAACCTGGAAGCACTTGGAAAAAATTGCCAATTGTCCCATTTTACAACCCAGATAATAAAATCATTATGGCCAATTAAATGATTAGACAATGCTAGACACACTGGGGTTCAATGCCTGGTTTTACATATCACTAACAACACACTATCAGGCATTAAGGCCATCAGTCTGAACTCAGAGTCATTTTCTTGTAATAGAGGTGAGAAACCTGCACCTGGAAGAAAAGCAGCTTCTTCATGGACTGAAGGAAGATTCTAAAGTAACAAGATCTTAGCAAGGGATGAAATGCAGCTCTCTGTCCTCAAAAACGTACACCTCACCAATTGGCTCCTGCCTTCCGAAGTTCATCTGCAGATGCAGCCACCACCTGGATTTCCATGGGGTCCTCCAGCCCTGCCAGCTGTGGACCCCGCATGTTATGGAAAGAGGTCGCTGGGTAGGACAGAGGGGCTACTCACCCAGACTCCATAAGACATTATCAGAGACCCTATGTCACAGTGACTCTGAAGCCAGCTGAGCTGCCTGCCTAATGTGACCGTGGTCTCCAAAGGGACAAAAGCTCTCAGAGTTTTTACCTCTGATGTTAGGAAAGAGCAGCCATTCCTCGGGCCTCGAGTTTCCAGGCGGAACAACTTACCTAGATAGGACTCCTGGTTTCCTCATTGCAAGGCGCGAGTGACCGGCTGGTAGGGCTGGAAGCAGGAACTTGGCAGCCTTGACTCAGCTCTTTTCCCCTTTGGCTCTCTCTGCCTGTCGAAAGGGCGCATTCTGGTCTGGTGCCTCGGCCATGTAGAGAGCTTAGTGCGGCAGAGCTGCCAAAGAGGCCAGATATTTGGGAGGTTACATTCAATTCCGGGAAGAGTTAATAACTGTACTTGACTCTAAGTCATGTTCTCCAATACAACCTTTCTCAGTTAAAAAAAATAATAATAATAAGTTGTTATCATCCATCTATCTGATTCCTGGGTCGGTCTGTCAGTTGGTTGGGAGATGAGGGAAAAGAGAGTTACCTATTGGGCCCAGCCCTTACACCTGCCAGCTCAATCCTTTCCCTGCTGTTTGACATTAGCGTAACGCGGGGCAGTGCTCATCAGACTTTAATTGCGCATGCACATCACCTGGCAATCTTGTTAAACTGCAGATTCTGATTCAGTATGTCTGGGATGGGGCCTGCGATGCTACATTTCTAACAGATGCCTAGGTAATGCCGATGCTGCTGGTCCACGGACCATGCTTTGATAGCAAGAATTTAAAATGTGGTCTCCAAAACCGAGAGAATTCACAGCAGACCCGGCTGCAATAAGAAGTGGGGGCAAGGTATTCTGTATCCTCTTCCTTCCCTTAAGGTGGGGATCTGCACATTTTATTGTGGATTATTATCATCTGGAAAGTTCGCAAACTCAGATTACTGAGACTCACTCCCAAGAATTTTTGCTCAGCAGGACTGGGGTCTAGGGATCTGCATTTTTAAGAAGGCTTTTCACGTGTAATATATCTTCTAACAGGTTATTCTCATGCAGATGGTCCTAGAACCACACTCTGACACAGGCTAAGGAGTCAGAAGATTCTTGCCTAGAACTACTCAATGATGCCACCTTGCCCTGTATGGCTTGTTACATGTTGCAAATTTGCCAACCATATATCTGATAAGGGGTTAATATCCAAAGTAATTATACATAATGAATTCAAATAACTCAGTAGCAAGGAAAAAAACACCTTGATCAAAAAATGGGCAAAGGATCTGATCAGATACTTCTCAAAAGAAGACATACAAATGACCAACAGGTCTATGAAAAAATTATCAACATCACTAATCATCAGGGAAATGCAAATCTAAACCACAATGAGATATCAGCTCACACCTGTTAGAATAGCTATTATTCAAAAGATGAAAGATAACAATTGTTAGCAAGGATATGGAGAAAAGGGGGCCCTTGTTCACTGTTGGCGGGAATGAAAATCAGTACAGCCATTATAGAAAACAGTTTGGAGGGTCCTCAAAAAGTTAAAAATAGAACCACCATATGATCCAGCAATCCCACTTCTGGGTATTTATCCAAAGGAAATGAGATCAGTTATGTCAAAGAGATATCTGCACTCCCAGGTTCACTGCAGCATTATTCACAATAGCCAGGATATGGAATCAATCAATCTAGTCCATCAAAGGATGAATGTATAAAGAAAATGTGGCATTTATGTACATAGGAATACGGTTCAGCCTGAAAAGGAAAAAAAATCTTGCCATTTGCAACATCATAATGAATCTGGAGGACACGATGATAAGTGAAATGAGCTGGACATAGCAAGACAAATACTGCGTGATCTCACTTATATGTGGAATCTAAAAATGTCAATGTCATAGAAGCAGAGAGTAGAATGGTGGTTGCAAAGGGCCGGGATGGTGGGGGTGGGGAAGAGATGTTGGTTAAAGGGTACAAAGTTTTAGTTAAGTCGGATGAATAAGTTTTGGAGATCTCTTGTACAGTATGGTGACTGCAGTTAATAATAATACAAACTTTAAAATTAAGAATGTAGATCTTAAATGTTCTTACCACAAAAATGTAAGTATGTGTTAATTAACTTGATTTAATCATTTCACAACATATATATATACGAAAACATCACATTGTATACAATAAATATATATAATTTCATGTCATTTATACCTTAATAGAGCTGGGGGGAATCTTATTTAAAAAAGAAAATTCCCTATTATATTTAAATCTGCAAACTAGATGTTACTGAAAGACTCCTCATAATACTTTGCCCAAACTGTTGTTTATACTTTCCAATGGCATCAGACAAAACTCTAGCCACAAGATTGCCCTTTCTTTCCTATGAGCTAGGGAAGCTTATTAGAGGGGCAAGGACACTGATATCTTGAAAAAAGGTTGCATTTTAACACACAAAGAATTACAGAGACAGAAGCAACATACAGCAAAAAGTAAGTGAGAATGTGAGCCTCTTTAACCACAGAGCATGAGTAAATAAGTAAATAGTATATAAACATTAAAATTTTACCATCTGGCTGTTCATAGCTCACTACATGCCATATTCACTAAGGGAATTTCTCATCCTAAAACAGCATGTCTATCAGAATAGATGAAATCGCTCTCTCTGGTAACTTGTGGACTTGGGGGATCCTTTGAAGGATGACTCCCTATTCTATCCTGACTCCTATTTCCTGTATTTATTTTCTACAGCCATTTTCTTAGGCATATAAAATAAATCATTCTACTTGGTTCCTCCAGACATCTACTGATAAGTCTACTCTAACTTGTTCAGTTTCTCACAGCTACACTACAATTCCTAGCAGAATCTTTAACTTTTCCAAATCTTCCTTTCTTTTTTCTCTTCTTGTGACTCTCTGGTTGTACTCTAGGTATTCTAATCACACTCTCTCTCGTTAGCTCCAACGATATCCCATGTCTCAAACCATCCTGTATTTTGTGTGTGTGTGTGTGTGTGTGTGTGTGTGTGTGTGTGTGTGTGTGTGTGACAGAGTCTCGCTCTGTCACCCAGGCTGGTGCAATCTCAGCTCACAGCAACCTCTGCCTCCCAGGTTCAAGCGATTCTTCTGCCTCACCCTCCTGAGTAGCTGGAACTGCAGGCAAACGCCACCACACCCAACTAATTTTTGTATTTTTTGTAGAGATGGGGTTTCACCATGTTGGCCAGGCTGGTCTCGAACTCCTGACCTGGAGTGATCTGCCCGCCTCAGCCTCCCAAAGTGCTGGGATTACTGGAGTGAGACACCACACCTGACCCATTTTGTTCTTTCATCTCAGAGTTTCTCGCATCCCAGGATGGCATCATCCCAATGCCTGAAGTAATACATAAACAGTCTCTCCTTTCTCAAAAGGAAAAACACTTTTTTATTTTATTTTATTTATTTATTTTTTTGAGACTGAGTCTCACTCTATCGCTGGAGTGCAGTGGGATGATCTCAGCTCACTGAAACCTCTACCTCCCGGGTTCAAGCAATTCTCCTGCCTTAGACTCCTGTGTAGCTGGGATTACAGGTGCGTACCACCACACCCAGCTAATTTTTGTATTTTTAGTAGAGACAGAGTTTCATCAGGTTGGCCAGGCTGGTCTCAAACTCCTGGCCTCAGGTGATCCACCTGCCTCGGCTTCCCAAAGTGCTGGGATTACAGGCATGAGCCACCACGCCCAGCCAGGAAAAACACTTCTTGAAAGGAAAATAAACATAGTCCCAAGGTGAACTCCTACAGGATAAATCCAAAGTGTTTCTGCCATGTGTTTTACCATAGTGCCTTAGTCCAATTTGTGCTGCTATAACAAAATATCTGAGGCTGGGTAATTTATAAACAGCATAAATTTATTCCTTACAGTTCTGGAGTCTGGGAAGTCCAAGATCAAGGCATCAGCCGACTCAGTGTCTGGTGAGGGCTGCTCTCTGCTTCCAAGATGGTGCCTATCGCTGTGTCTTCAAAGGCAGTGGGCAGAAGGGCAAGAGGACAAAAAAGAGGCCAAACTGCCTTCCTCAAGCCCTTTAAAAGGGTACTAATCCCATTCATGAGGGCATTCCTCTCATGATTAATCACCTCCTAAAGGCCCCATCTTTTATACTATCACCTTGGTAATTAGGTTTCAACATGTGAATTTGGGAGGAACACATAATTCAGACCATAGCATACAGGAAGGGTGAGATATGCATATCTCTTTGACAGCCATGTTCTCCAATATGGACAAAGTCCAGTTGTCCATAGCCCCTAATCTCCACCCCATCTCATTGCATTAAGCTGTTAAGTCAATTTAGAGACTGAAGTTAAAGCCAGGTGCGGTGGCTCACACCCGTAATCCCACCACTCTGGGAGGCTGAGGCAGGTGAATCACCAGAGGTCAGGAGTTGAAGATCAGCCTGGCCAACATGGCGAAAACCCATCTCTACTAAAAATACAAAAATTACTCAGGCATGGAGGCGCATGCCCAGCTACCTGGGAGCCTGAGGCACAAGAATTGGTTGAACCTGGGAGGCAGAGATTGCAGTGAGCCGAGATCATGCCACTGCACTCCAGCCTGAGCAAGACACCGTCAGAAAAGAAAAAAAGAAAGAGAGAAAGAAAGAAAGAAAGAAAGAAAGGAAGGAAGGAAGGAAGGAAGGAAGGAAGGATAAATATGGTCATTCCTTTACTTCAGTGTCACTTAATAAAGGCATTCCTTTTGTTGATTACATTAGCAAACAGAAAACACAATAGGATAATGGGAGTTTGTTGGGTAAAAATGCAGAAGTCATCACAGAGAACATTCTAAAATTTGCATTGCATGGGTAACCACTCACCCTGTAAATCCAAAGGCATTTTGATTTTACCTCCCAACCATTACACCCCAGCTTACCCTTCCCGCATCTCACTGCAGCAAACCTTGGCATCTTTGCCTCATGTCCCAATCCTTCACTTCTTTACGCTTTCCCAAAATGCCTGAACTCAATAAATTGCATGCTCCCTGGCTTGCAATTACCCTTGACTATGGCTTCTTCTGCCCTGGAAGTGACCGTGACTGGAGTCTTTCCCAGACCCATCTCCTGCCTTTGCACTTCCATCACTGCGCATTCCTCCTCCAGGTCCCCTGCTCTGCCTTTCACATTCCTCTCCCAGTGATTGGGAGGTGGGCCATGGAGCTGAACCTCCTTTTCCCACACAGTAACACACAGAAGCTGTCTTAGCAACAGGGCCTGGCATGAGCACAAGGCCTCATTTCAGAACCTACCTCTGAGGCCAAAGGAGTCCCTCACAGGAGTCACTGTACCATGCCCATGAGACTCTGGGCAGCCCCAAACCACTTCAGAATACTCCAAACCAATCTTCCAGGCACTTCTCAGGAGGCTGGCTCCACTTCAGCAAAGTGCCTTGCACTGAAAGACGAATTTTCCATTGCTAACTAGTGCAGTTAATGAGAGCACTGGACACTCTGGCACTAAGGAAATTAGCCAGAATTTAATTCTGCCAATAAATTGCCTTGGGCTTGATATCTCACCACATGCATCCCTCCGGCCTGCTTTAAATTGTGGGTGTGTTTTTAAGTCTTCAAATAATCAGACTACATTGGCTCCAAGACTGTAATAAAATGTCTTTGCTATATAAAGCAGAATCTGTTCAGCACTTAGTATCTTCCCTGTAACAATTTGCCACACCCCAAGACATGCACCTTTGTGATGGGTGTAAGACCAGCCAGAGACACACAGTGGCAATGTGTGCCACATGTTCAGTTTCATCCTTGGCCTCTCTCCATTTTTATTTCCTTAACCATCATCTCATGAGAGTACCTCTTAATGCGGTGAATGCGATTTGTTTGACTTAAAATCAGGTACATTTTCCATAGGTTAACAAATTGTTTGTAGTCATCACTTGGAAATTTCCTTTACTTTTTAATAATTTTTTCTGATTATGTAAATTTTATCCAACCCTCAAATATATAGTGCCGACAGTGTAACAACTAGAAATAAATGAATACCCTGCATACACATTTTTTTTATTTTGAGGAAAACAAGAGGGTTCAATTATTTCAGGCCTCCAATTTTGCGTCATTAACTCCTCCTGGAAAATAATGTGACATCCAGCACTTTAAGTTCATCAAGAGGTCTCAGTTACCACCCTCATCTGAGAAGCATCATGCTCTTTATTTTTAAGAACCTACGCCCATCTGCTCACACATGAGAAGTACCTGTATCCAGGAAAACAGTAAATGCAAGAAAGTCAGTAATAAATGAAATGAAAATCTCAGCATTACTTCCAATCACTTTTTACACACCTAGATACATGCAAATGCATCTCTGTATATCTGTATGTAGATATATTACTTATTTGTTTTATAAGTTTGGGAATCACACGATATGTATTATTTTATAACTTGCTTTTTCCATTTAACAACATCTATGAGGACTTTTTTCATGCATGCTTATTTTTTATATGTTTGCCTATAACTAGAAAATATATTTAATAAAGTTTTTTCCAAAGCAAAATCAATATACTACCTTAGCCAGAAATATATGACAAACCTAAAGCAGATGATTGTTCCATTAACTAAATTTTAATTTTTTCTTTCTATTTAATAAATGATTAGATAATCAAGTTTGTTTTTTCTGTTAAAAAGAAACAGTGTTCAGAACAGGTTATTCTCCCAAGAAGGCCTGGTTATTCCTCAAGTTAAGAAAAAAATGTTAAAAATTTTATATAAAAGTATTTAATGAATTTATATAAAAAATTATGTAATTAAATATCTAGTAATTCATGCATTATACCATATTATCTTATGTGAATATAAATCTTTCTGTGAAACTTGTGATAACATTTAATAATGCTTCTAAAATCATCCCCTGCCTATATACAACATGATATCCCAACATGAAAAAATCATTCAGAAATGGTTACATACAGCAGGTACAAAGTGGAGCACTTTAACTCTGTAGACGTAGAGTCAGAAGTTATAGGCAGGTCAAAAATTATGTGTCCCTGTTCACTTATTTTTTTTAAGTTGGACAATTCAGCACTCTTGGAGAGACCCCCAAATCCATTCAAACATGGATGAAAAAATCCATTGTCTCTGTAAAAGAAATCCTTTTCTTGAAACAGCTGCCAAAGAGAAGCCACCAGCTGGCCTGATGGTTTGGCCAGCAAAGCCAGCTAATGTGGAGATGATTATCAGATGGCAATGTCCCAGGGACCTGGGCATTGCCAGCCAGAGCCTGCTGAGTAGGTGACAAGCACCTTGAGTCCCCCAGGCCAAGTCCCCACCTTTCCAGGCTGTCTGGCATACAATACACAGAACTGTTGGCAGTCAGCTCTAACCTTATTGGCATCTTCCAAATAATTTTCCCACATGTGAATTCTGAACAGGGGCTTGAGTTAGTGAAGCGAAAGCTGGACACTCTATTGTACACGGTCTCATTCTCTCAAAGCAACCAGGGGAACATGTGGGCTTCAGCCCAGGGTCCAGGGTGCAGCTTCTACCAAAGGACAAAGAAATTATCATGCCATTTTACTGCCTCAAATATTATGTGCTTGTTCAGGATATGATGCCATTGTCCAGATTTTACTCTAAGGAAGTTCTTTACCAAACTGTATCTAATATAGGATATTCCTCATCAAAAACTACAACTTCCTACCAGACCACAGTGATTCTCCAATTTGACCACCTTGTGCCCAGGAACAAAGCAGAGAGACTTAAAGCAGTCAAGATGTTCACTCTACACACAGCCCTGCCCCACATCTACTCACCATTTTCCCTCACTGATTCACACAGGGTCTCCTCAAACTAGTGCAGGAAATGGCCCCTTCTCTCTCAGAACAAGACCTCGTCTCCCACTTCACAGAGAAGATATGAGTTCCCTCAAGCCTAGTCATACTCATGCACACACACTCACACAGGCATGCACACACACACACATCACACACTGACCACCTCCACACACATCTTTATCGCTTTCCCCCATCTCAGAGGAAACATCCTCTCCCCTCAGGCCATGCTTTTTTTTTTTTTTTTTTGAGATGGAACCTCACTCCGTCACCCAGGCTAGAGTGCAGTGGCACAATCTCAGCCCACTGCCTCCGGCTTCAAGCGATTCTCCTGCCTCCCAGCCTCCAGAGTACCTGAGACTACAGGCGTGCACCACCATGCACTGGTAATTTTTGTATTTTTAGTAGAGACGGGGTTTCACCATGTTGCCCAGGCTGGTCTTGAACTCCTGGCCTCAAGTGATCTGCCCGCCTCAGCCTCCCAAAGTGCTGGGATTACAGGTGTGAGCCACCACGCCTGGCCTAGACCATGCTTTTGTTCTTCCCCTCCTTCAGGATCCCATCAAACCCTCCCTTAACATTGATCTTTTCCATTCTACTGGTTCCTTTCCCACTGCCCACCAATATATTCAGGTTCCTGACCCCCAGGCTACTTTCAGCCACCAGTTGATTTCCTTCCCTTTACTGCCAAGCTTCCTGGGAAAAAAACCCTACATGAGCACTTTGTCCTTAACCCTGCCCTTACACCAGCCCTCCATCCTTAATCTCTGTTCAAACCACTCAAGTTGAATCCTGCTTCCTGTCAGAGCCCTGAAGGTACACATTCTAAATCTCACTTTTCTCATCCTTAAAACCAGGATAACAATACAGCATTACTTAGGATGAGGGCTAAGCCATTGTAACAAACAGACCCCACATTAGAGTGGCTTACCACAGAGGCTTATGCTATTCTTGCTGTAACACTCCTCAAATGAGAGGAACAGTCATCAGGGAAGCCATGCTCCATGTGATCACTCAGAGAACCAGGATTTTTCTACGCTGTTGGTTCATAAAATTTTAATGTGCGTGTGAATCATCCAGCTCTTGTTAAAAATGCAGGTTCTGATTTGATGTCTGGGATAGGGCTTGAGAGGCCGCATTTTTTTTGAGATGGAGTGTTGCTCTGTCACCCAGGCTGGAGTGCAGTGGTGCTATCTCAGCTCACTGCAACCTCCACCTCCCGGGTTCAAGTGATTCTCCCGCCTCAGCCTCCCGAGTAGCTGGGACTACAGGCATGCACCACCACGCCTGGCTAATTTTTGTATATTTTGGTACAGACAGGGTTTTGCTATGTCAGCCAGGCTTGTCTTGAACTCCTGACCTTAAGCAATCCACCCACCTCAGCCTCCCAAAGTGCTCAGTTTACAGGCATGAGCCACCACGCCTGGCAAGAGTCTGCATTTCTAACAAGCTCCCAGGTGATGCCTGGCTGCCCGGATATGAAGCATACTCTGAGTAGGAGGAGCCTAGGGTGTTGCCCTTTCCTGCTTGATCAAAGCAGAGTCATAGGCACCTCTATATTCCAGCTCTCCAGAAGGGAAAGACGGCATGTGGACGAGTGCATGCTCAGTGTCCTAAGGCCCAGACTTGGGAGACCCCATCTGCTCACATGCCGCTGGCAAGCATGAGTCATATGGCCACACCTAGAGGCAAACAAGAGTGGGGACCTAGACATTATTTTTATCTATCGTGGAATTTTCTGGGAGGCACTGAGAACAAAGAGCAGATGTATTTGAGTGTGGAACACTCGCCAAAACTAAGACAATTATTGGAACACTGTCAGCCATTCCAGCTGCTGTGGAGTGAAATGGCGTAGAATGGTGATGGCTGGAGCTGACAGTGGTTGGGCAGCGGGGTAGAAGAGTGAAGGTGTGGCTTGAAGCACCGCACTATGACCCTAGGAAGGCAAGTACATCTCTAATAGAAATGACAGCCTGGGACACCACGCATTCAGAAGTAGATACAGGAGTCATTTGCCCTTGCTGGTCTATTTTTGGCTCTCGTGGAGGTCCAAATGTTTCTGTATAATTCTGGATATTGTTCAAGGTGCAGGAACCCTGCAAGACTTGGTCCTATGCTGCCCGAGCTGAAGGCAACCAGAGTATCGCTATGGCATTTCCCTAAATGCTAGCTGTACGAAAGCGCATGTTCTGCAGCAAGACTTTCTAAGTTTAAATCCCAGTTCTGCCACTTCCCGTGTGACCTTAGGCAACTTACTTCATCTCTCTGTGCCTCAGTTTTGTCATCTGTAAAATAAGGATATCTACATTACTCGTGTCATAAGATAATTTGAAGATTGAGAGTAGTGATGTATTTTAGAAGCTTATACAATACCTGATACACAGTAAGTCTTAAATATCATGCTATGTTTTATCTCAACTTTATTTTCTTAAACTGCTTTAACCACACAATGGGTTCTCTTTGTTTGCTGCCTAGACAAAGCTGATTTATCAAGACAGGAGAACTGCAATACAAAAGAGTTTAGGCCGGACACGGTGGCTCACACCTGTAATCCCAGCACTTAGGGAGGCTGAGGTGAGTGGATCACTTGAGGTCAGAAGTTAGAGACCAGCCTGGCCAACATGGTGAAACCCCATCTCTACTAAAAATACAAAAATAAGCTGGGTGTGGTGGCTGGCAGGCGCCTGTAATCCCAGCTACTTGGGAGGCTGAGGCAGGAGAATCGCTTGAACCTGGCAGACAGAACAAGACTCCAGCCTGGGCGACAGAGTGAGACTCTGTCTCAAAACAAACAGACAAAAAAAAAAAAAAAAATAGAGAAAGATTTAATTCACGCAGAGTCGGCTGTAAGGGAGAATGGAGTTTTATTATTACACAAATCAGTTTCCCCCAAAACTCAGAGATTGGGATTTTTAAGGATAATTTGGTGGGTAGGGGGGTTGGAAAGTGGGGAGTGCTGATTGGTCAGGTCAGAGATGAAATTATAGGGAGCCAAAGCTGTCCTCTTGTGCTGAGTCAGTTCCTGAGTGGGGGCCATAAGACCACATGAGCCAGTTTATCGATCTGAGTGGTGCCAGCTGACCCACTGAGTACAAGGTCTGCAAAATATCTCAAGCCCTAATCTTAGGTTTTACAATAGTGATGTTATTCCCAGGAGCAATTTGGGGAGGTTCAGAATCTTGCAGCCTCCAGCTGCATGACTCCTAAACCATAATTTCAAATTTTGTGGCTAATTTGTTAATCCTGCAAAGGCTGTCTAGTCCCTAGGCAGGAAGAGGATTTGTTTGGGGAAAGGGATGTTATTGTCAGCTGTAACTTTGTTTCAAAGGTAAACTATAAACTAAGTTCCTCCAAAAGTTATTTCACCTACACCCAGGAAAGAACAAGCGCAGCCTGAAGGTCAGAAGCAAGATGGAGTCATTTAAGTCGGATCTCTTTCACTGTAATAATGTTCTGAGTTATAATTTTTGCAAAGGTGAATTCACTTCTGACTTCCTCAGACCTGTCCAAAATTCATTTCTCACCATTCTAGCTCCTTTTTTCCTCAGTCGCCCAAAGTTGAAGAACGAGACAGCTCAAGTTCTGTGATGATCCTGGCAACCTCACATACCCAAGTATAATGAGTGTGGAAGAAATCCACCTCAAATTACACTGGAGCACAGCACACGAGAACAACTTCTCATGAATTGCTCTTATGGGCAACCCTAAAAGAGTAGAAAGAAAGCAGCACCATCAGCCCTGGAAACTCCTTAGGGCCCAGATGCATTCCTAATAGTTCATGATGAAGTTAAATCATCTCACTGCTCCCCTCCCCTACACTTGCCCTCGTTGAAGACGTTTTGTGCTGTTGGGTTAAAATTCCAAGGGCAATCCTGAAGAGAAAAAGAATTACCAAAGGATTCAAATAAACATAAAAGGGAGAGTTTGATTGGACTATGGAGAAGTCCTAGCTATGGAGAATGCCAAGGAGATAGAGCAGGCCTGTGCTTTGGGGACAATGGAGAGTACAGGGCTGATTGCCTATGGAAGCATTCTACTTCTTTTTTTAGCATCTTCTGACAAAGCCATCTCTTTACTCCTCTCAAACTTCTTCCTTAAACCACTACCATTCCCAGAAGCATGCTACCACCCAAAACTGGAGCCCCTGACAATCAGAGCAACTGGAAGTGTCCATAGAAAGCTCTACATGACAGACAGCAGATGTCCATTCATTAAGGAACTTTCTCCATTAGGAAGGGGAGCCCTGTAAGAGGATATGGATTGAATGGTTCCATCCAATCACTTCATTTCACGGATTAATTCTTTAATCTAGACAACAAATATTTACAAATTCCTACTGTGTGCTAGGCACTGAGAGAGAGGAACTAACCCAGAAAATCTCAAGTCACATAGTTTTGAACCCTGGACCAGAGTCCATGTCTTTTGATCCCTGGCAAAGCATTCTCCATCCACATCCTGCTCCCCCTAAGGGTCCCCCTTGCTCTGAGAACATGGGTTAATGTCTGCCACAGCTTTCCATTCTCAGGCAGGCAAACTTCTGCACAAGCAAAACCACAAGCAAATTTACAGCGAAGGTCCTCTTTCTTCAGGGCCCAGTTAGGCAACTGAGAGGCTGATAGAAGCAAAACCACATTTGTTGAGCGCTGCCTATGTGCCAGGGCCTCTTCTAAATATTTTACCCACACTGTTCCATTTAATCCTTACAACCCCCTCACAGATGGGTACTATTGCTAGCCCCATGTTACAGATGAACAAAAGTTTACAGAGGTGAAGAAAGAAAAAAAAAAAACGTGTTCAGGATCTCATAACTAATGAGCAGAGATCCATGCCTTAAACTCAGCTTTTCCCAGCAACAAAGCCAGAATTGTTTTCCACAGCTCACTGCCCAGTAATTTACTGAAATAAACAACTGATTGTTTCTGAGATCACAAGAGCTTTGGCATATAGGAGTCACATGGGATTGTTAAATACTCTGTAACTACAATACCATCAGATGGGGGTGATTTGTTCTTATGGTTTGTGGACTCCCTTTGGCTCTGTCCACCAAATTACTTTTTGGGGTTTTGCAAAATAGGAAACAAAAGTGACAATATTTTAAATCAAACAGGATCTATGTATTAGTTATACCGTGCCTATATCTCTATGTAAATGTTAAGAGGTTCCACTAATTCCCAGAGCCACCTTATATACCAGTTTCTCTCTAAAGTGGAGAAACCACATTTGAAGCAAATCAGGCACGAGCGAGCAGCATAATAGAGAACTCTACCACAAGGGGGTTTCTTGTGTGTCTGTAATGTTCCACTAATTAAACTTTGGAAGCATTTAAGACTGTCTTCAATGTGTATACATACCCACAGTGCAGCCTGACAGAAAAAAATCCATTTCAACGAGTCATGCACCAACAGTAGTGAACAAATGGATTTGAATTGTTAGGGTACATAATTATATGAAATACAGTTTTCTCTCTATGAAAAAGATTAGTTGTTCAGACATGCAGCTTATGAACCCAACTTTATGCCACATATATGGGTTTTTTTTTTCTTGCAGTACATCAACTAACTAAGCACACATGCCATTGGCTGGCTGTGACTGTTTTATCAGGGAGCCCCAGAAGCTAAGGGGGCAAACTTTCTGGAAATGTGCTACAGGAATTAAGAAGAGGAGACTTGTTTCTAAAAATAAAAGAAAGAAACACAGTGAAAACATGAATGAAAAACATTCAAATCAGTGCTACAGATTTGCTTTCCCACATCTAGATGTACCTTCAAACAAATCTCATTACCAAATAAAAACTAAAGAAATCAAAACAAGTCACCTCTATGATGTTTCACCAGCTATGATTATTTGACTCCATTCAAAGATGCATAAAATGCTTTTAAGATACAGGTTTAAAATGAATAAATAAGTAAATAAAAAGATACAGGCCTAACTATGCCTTAGTGGAGTAAATCCAGTATGGGCCCAGCTTCACACCCACTCATTTAATTAAAGAGCCTACTCTGCAATCAAACCAATCCCATGACTTAGCACGGGCAAATAAGAAATTATTTAAGGTAAATACAAGAACCACAGAGCCTGTCATTCAATTTAAGCTCCATGGATCCCACCTTGCTCAACAATTTTAAAAGAATATGGACTTCAACCTATGAGAGTTTTGTAAAGCAAAAATGATAATAACCATTGAAAAGCACTTTTAATTGAGGAAAAAACTATTCTGTTTAACGTAGTGCAGGGCTTGACAACCACCAAAAATTAGAGTGTGCAGGCCATGACCAAGCTTCACAGCTTCTCTAAAAAGAGCATGTTTCAAACTCCACCTTTCCAGCCTCTTCCTTGGTCCTACAGTGGTCAAGTGACTTCTGAGCCAGCCCTCTTACCACTCCAAAGATGAGGTTCTTCAGCAAAACTCCTACCTCACAAGGGAAAAAAATATTATTTTTAAGAAAACTGGACTTGATCAAATAAGCCACATCAGAAAGGACTGAAGTGCTGATGACTGAATAAAAGCTAGGAGCTCATTGAACATAAATATAGGTTGGAGAATTTACAGAGATTCTTCAGAGACTGGAGAGAGATATCTAAATCGCCTTCCTATACCTGGCACTCAAGCTAACTATTGCCCCTAGACATCAGGAGGCTTTGCACTGACTGTGACGACAGGCCACCATCCCTGCAACTGGTTAGTCAATGTGTCTCTTCCTCACACACTGACCATGTGCTCATGAGAGCAGGGGCTGTATCTGCCTGTTTCATTCATACTTCTGGCAACATGCTTGGTATATTTGCACTTATAAATGTTTGCTGAATACATAAATTAACTACTTCATACATGGGTTCATGCACAGCTATATAGAAAACCATGACCTCAAAATACAGATACTTGGCTGGGCATGGTAGCTTATGCCTGTAATCCTACCACTTTGGGAGTCCAAGGCGGGAGGATTGCTTGAGTCAAGGAGTTTCTAGACCAGCCTGGGCAACATAGCATGAACTTGTCTTTACAAAAAAAAAAAAAAAAAAAAAAAAAAATATATATATATATATATATACACACACACACACATATATATGTGTATATATATATATACACACATACACATATATATGTATATATATACACACACATATGTGTATATATATACACACACATATATATGTGTGTGTATATATATACATACACACACACACACACACACAGATATTAGACATCTTAATTTCCACTTCCCAAATATACTGAGTTTTCCTTATTAAGTCAAAAAATACAAACTCAACTAACATAATAAGTAAGTATAACAGCATTCTGCCCTCTTTTCTATTTCATTTTAGTTGGTTTTCATGAAATCTGTGTTTGTGAGAACACTATTAATGTGTTTGATGTATAAAGATTTTTTTTCTTAGTTTAGTAAAATGGGAGAGGCTTCTGTCTCCTCAAGTCCAAGGGAAATAGCCTTTCAACTGTGGTTTTAAATTCTGAATTATATAGTCACATGAACATGAGTCTATTTCAAAAGCCATATTACAATGAAATAGAATGAAAACTACCCAAAACATGTATCTAAAAAGAGCTAGATAAATCACACTTGCTAATATTCATATATTTAACAAAATGTTATAATATTTTATAAACCATCTGTTTTCAAATCTAATTGTTTTTCTTCTTAACAAACAACATTAAGTCTTCCCTAGAATGAAATTCTGAACAAGTGAGTCCCCTGCTTAAACTACTGCATTGAGTGACTCTACATTGACCTTTATGGCAGGTCTTACTCTGACCCTTGTTTACCTCCCCACTTGCATGCCCCACCATTCCTCCATAGATTCTGTGCCCCAACTAGACAGGACTACATTCAGCTCTACAAACACGTCAGGCCACTCTTTCTAACCTCTGAGTGCTCATGCATGCTGGCCACTGCCTCGATCTTCCTCTACCTCCTAACTCCTTCTACCTTGGTAACACCAATTTGTCTTTCAGATCTTAGCTGAGACATCCAGAAAGCCTTTTCTGAACACCACCACTCTTTTGCAACATGAAGTTAGGAGTCTTCTCTGTGCCCCTTCAAATACCCAGGTCATACCTCCGTGCTGCCATTTCCTTACCAAGTGATTGCTTATTACCTATGTGTATTCCTAGATAGTAGCTACTCCATGAGTATTATTCAATGTATGCATGCATGCTAAAAGAGGTGAGATAGATGGCAAAGTGGTCCTTTCTTGCTAAGAGTTTATGTTTTGTACCTCATTCATGCGCATGAGTAAGAAAATCACCTTACATCATGGCCTTTCCCCATAACAATCTTTATAGTCCTTTAAACAACTTTATGTAATAATGATAGGAAGATCCTAGAAGGATTTGCTTTAACCTGATACTAATTGTCATTATCCAATAACTGTTGTACTAACATTAAGTTTTTTAACTTTTTTTTTGAGACAGAATTTCACTCTTGTTGCCCAGGCTGGAGTGCAATGGTGCAATCGCAGCTCACTGCAACCTCTGCCTCTCAGGTTCAAGTGATTCTCCTCCCTCAGTCTCCCAAGTAGCTGAGATTACAGGCATGCACCACCATGCCTGGCTAATTTTGCATTTTTAGTAGAGATGGGGTTTCACCATGTTGGTCAGGCTGGTCTTGAACTTCTGACCTCAAGTGATCCACCTGCCTCAGCCTCCCAAAGTGCTGCGATTACAGGTGTGAGCCACTGAGCTGGCCTAATTTTTTTTTAATTAAAAATAGAGACAGGGTCTCACTACGTTGCCCAGGCTAGTTTATTAACTCCTGGGCTCAAGTAATCCTTCTGCCTCGGCCTCCCAAAGTGCTGGGATTACATGCATGAGCCACCACACCCAGCCTGTTGTACTAAAATTCCTTTTAAAAACTAATTTTTAGAATGTTTCCATTGCTGACCAGGCACAGTGGCTCACATCTGTAAATCTCAGCACTTGGGAGGCTGAGGCGGGCAGATCGCTTGAGCCCAGGAGTTTGAGACCAGCTTGGGCAACATGGTGAAACCCTGTCTCTACAAAAAATACAAAAAATCAGCCAGGCTAGCCATATGTAGAAAGCTGAAACTGGATCCCTTCCTCACACCTTATACAAAAATTAATTCAAGATGGATTAAAGACTTAAACGTTAGACCTAAAACCATAAAAACCCTGGAAGAAAACCTAGGCATTACCATTCAGGACATAGGCATGGGCAAGGACTTCATGTCTAAAACACCAAAAGCAATGGCAACAAAAGCCAAAATTGACAAATGGGATCTGATTAAACTAAAGAGCTTCTGCACAGCAAAAGAAACTACCATCAGAGTGAACAGGCAACCTACAAAATGGGAGAAAGTTTTCACAACCTATTCATCTGATAAAGGGCTAATATCCAGAATCTACAATGAACTCAAACAAATTTACAAGAAAAAAACAAACAACCCCATCAAAAAGTGGGCGAAGGACATGAACAGACACTTCGCAAAAGAAGACATTTATGCAGCCAAAAAACACATGAAAAAATGCTCATCATCACTGGCCATCAGAGAAATGCAAATCAAAACCACAATGAGATACCATCTCACACCAGTTAGAATGGCAATCATTAAAAAGTCAGGAAACAACAGGTGCTGGAGAGGATGTGGAGAAATAGGAACACTTTTACACCGTTGGTGGGACTGTAAACTAGTTCAACCATTGTGGAAGTCAGTGTGGCGATTCCTCAGGGATCTAGAACTAGAAATACCATTTGACCCAGCCATCCCATTACTGGGTATATACCCAAAGGACTATAAATCATGCTGCTATAAAGACACATGCACACGTATGTTTATTGCGGCACTATTCACAATAGCAAAAACTTGGAACTAACCCAAATGTCCAACAATGATAGACTGGATTAAGAAAATGTGGCACATATACACCATGGAATACTATGCAGCCATAAAAAAGGATGAGTTCATGTCCTTTGTAGGGACATGGATGAAATTGGAAATCATTCTCAGTAAACTATCGCAAGGACAAAAAACCAAACACCACATGTTCTCACTCACAGGTGGGAATTGAACAATGAGAACACATGGACACAGGAAGGGGAACATCACACTCTGGGGACTGTTGCGGGGTGGCAGGAGTGGGGAGGGATAGCATTAGGAGATATACCTAATGCTAAATGATGAGTTAATGGGTGCAGCACACCAGCATGACACATGTATACATATGTAACTAACCTGCACATTGTGCACATGTACCCTAAAACTTAAAGTATAATAATAATAAAATAAAATAAAATAAAAAATCAGCCAGGCATGGTGGCACGTGCCTGTAGTCCCAGCTACTCGAGAGGCTACAGTGGGAGAATTGCTTGAGCCAAAGAAGTCAAGGCTGCAATGAGCCGAGATGGTGCCACTGCACTCCAGCCTGGGTGACAGAGTGAGACCCCACTTCAACAAAAAAAAAAAAAAAAAAGAGAAAGAAAGAAAAGTCTCCATTGCTTATGTGAAAATTATAGATACTTCATCATATACAGACATCACATGATTAAATGAAGCTATAAAAAGGGGCCTTAATTTTCACATTGTTTTAAATGTGTAGTTTACCTGTTTTTTTAATCTCTGCATGTGACATCAGTAAATGTCCAATGATGGTAGTAATCATGATGATAACAGTAATAGAAATAAATAATATAAAGAATGACATATCCCTAAAAGCTCCAAGTTGCCCTCAAAAGGCTTGGAGCATATTTCATGTGAGGCTCGTTTTCATAACTGGACGACATCGTGAAAGAAAACCAATTCTGAAAGATGTTGTTGACATGTGTGACCCCATGGAAATTATTTCAATCTGTGGGCAATTTGTTTTCAGTCTTTGTGTACAGCACAGAAAATTCAGTCAGCTCTCTATCACACAACACCTATCTCTGCATTCACTCTCTTTTCTTGGTTCATCAGGATGCAAAATAACCTAAACAAAATGACTACGCTGACGTTTTCTTCAAATACCATAATAATTGTTAAATGGTACTGACCAGAGACAAAAGGAAATTTTATTTTCTGTTGATCACACACATCTTTTTATACACGAAAAACCACAACACTATCATTCTCTACCAGGCTGCTTCTGCCAACAACTATGACTGATTGGGATTCACAGAAAGCCCCTCGGCCTCATATGAACACGACAAGAGTCAAATTAGGTGGGCTGGGAGCAAAACAAAGAGCTGCAGAAAAGGAATCCTCTCAAACTCAGCATTTTGACAGAACCTTCTTCGTGCCAGCGCGCATGCTGCCTCATTAAATGATGTAGAAAGGTCAGAGGTTAATCAGCTTCAATTTGGCATGCATGTTGAGTAGCTTTTAGTCATCATTTTATATTTCCAAATGAGAACCAAGAAACACTTCAAGTCAGTGGAGCATTTTCTAATGACAACTTTTAACTCTTCAGAGACAGAATTTCTCACTAAGTTGCCCTTTTTTGACAGTTTTATTGAGGTATAATTGTCATTTAATAAACCATACATATTGAAAGCATACAATTTGGTAAGTTTTAACATGTGTACATAGGTGAAAAAATTGCCCATATCAAGATAATGAACATAATCTTCACTTCCAAAAGATTCTTCCTGCACTGCTGTAATCCTGCCTTCTTACTCCTGCCTCACCCATACCCAGACAACCACTAATCTGCTTTCTGTCATTATAGTTCACATTTTCTAGAACTTTACATGAGTAAAATCATACAGTATGTACTCTTTTTAGTGTGGCTTCTTTCACTCTCAGTAATTATTTTCATATTTATCCATGTTGCTCAGCCGAGCATGGTGGCCCACACCTGTAATCCCAGCACTTTGGGAGGCCAAGGCAGGAGAATCTCTTGAGATCAGGAATTTGAGACCAACCTGGGCAACACAGTGAAACCCTGTCTCTAACAAAAAATACAGAAAAAAAAAAATTAGGTGGGCCCTGTGGCACGCACCTGTTAATCCCAGCAACTTGGGAGACTGAGGCAGAAGAATCACTTGAACCTGAGAGATGGAGGGTACAGTAAGCTGAGATTGCACCACTGTACTACAGCCTGGGTGACAGAATGAGACTCTGTCTCAAAAAAAAAAATTTATTCATGTCGTTCATATAAGTAAGTAGTTCCATTGTTTGAATCTATGACAATTTATTAACCTGTTGAAGGTGAATTTGGGTTATTTGCAGGTGCTTTTGGTTATTAACTGCTATTAACATTTGTGTACAAGTCTTTGTATGGACACATGCTTTCATTTTTTTCTTGAGTAAATACCTACGAGTAGCCCTCTCCCTCCCCCTCCCCCTCCCCCTCCCCCTCCCCCTCCCCCTCCCCCTCCCCCTCCCTCCACGGTCTCCCTCTGATGCCGAGCCGAAGCTGGACTGTACTGCTGCCATCTCGGCTCACTGCAACCTCCCTGCCTGTTTCTCCTGCCTCAGCCTGACGAGTGCCTGCGATTGCAGGCGCGCGCCGCCACGCCTGACTGGTTTTCGTTTTTTTTTGGTGGAGACGGGGTTTTGCTGTGTTGGCCGGGCTGGTCTCCAGCTCCTAACCACGAGTGATCCGCCAGCCTCGGCCTCCCGAGGTGCCGGGATTGCAGACGGAGTCTCGTTCACTCAGTGCTCAATGGTGCCCAGGCTGGAGTGCAGTGGCGTGATCTCGGCTGGCTACAACCACCTCCCAGCCGCCTGCCTTGGCCTCCCAAAGTGCCGAGATTGCAGCCTCTGCCCGGCCGCCACCCCGTCTGGGAAGTGAGGAGCGTCTCTGCCTGGCCGCCCATCGTCTGGGATATGAGGAGCCCCTCTGCCTGGCTGCCCAGTCTGGAAAGTGAGGAGCGTCTCTGCCCGGCCGCCATCCCATCTAGGAAGCGAGGAGCGCCTCTTCCCCGCCGCCATCCCATCTAGGAAGTGAGGAGCGTCTCTGCCCGGCCGCCCATCGTCTGAGATGTGGGGAGCACCTCTGCCCCGCCGCCCTGTCTCGGATGTGAGGAGCGCCTCTGCCCGGCCGCCCCGTCTGAGAAGTGAGGAAACCCTCTGCCTGGCAACCGCCCCGTCTGAGAAGTGAGGAGCCCCTCCGTCCGGCAGCCACCCCGTCTGGGAAGTGAGGAGCGTCTCCGCCCGGCCAGCCGCCCCATCCGGGAGGGAGGTGGGGGGGTCAGCCCCCTGCCCGGCCAGCCGCCCCGTCCGGGAGGGAGGTGGGGGGATCAGCCCCCAGCCGGGCCAGCCGCCCCGTCCGGGAGGTGAGGGGCGCCTCTGCCCGGCCGCCCCTACTGGGAAGTGAGGACCCCTCTGCCCGGCCAGCCGCCCCGTCCGGGAGGGAGGTGGGGGGGTCAGCCCCCCGCCCGGCCAGCCGCCCCGTCCGGGAGGGAGGTGGGGGGATCAGCCCCCAGCCGGGCCAGCCGCCCCGTCCGGGAGGTGAGGGGTGCCTCTGCCCGGCCGCCCCTACTGGGAAGTGAGGAGCCCCTCTGCCCGGCCAGCCGCCCCGTCCGGGAGGGAGGTGGGGGGGTCAGCCCCCCGCCTGGCCAGCCGCCCCATCCGGGAGGGAGGTGGGGGGGTCAGCCCCCCGCCCGGCCAGCCGCCCCGTCCGGGAGGGGGGAGGGGGGGTCAGCCCCCTGCCCGGCCAGCCGCCCTATCCAGGAGGTGAGGGGCGCCTCTGCCCGGCCGCCCCTACTGGGAAGTGAGGAGCCCCTCTGCCTGGCCAGCCGCCCCGTCCGGGAGGGAGGCGGGGGGGGGGGTCGGCCAGCCGCCCCGTCCGGGAGGGAGGTGGGGGGATCAGCCCCCCGCCCGGCCAGCCGCCCTATCCAGGAGGTGAGGGGCGCCTCTGCCCGGCCGCCCCTACTGGGAAGTGAGGAGCCCCTCTGCCTGGCCAGCCGCCCCGTCCGGGAGGGAGGCGGGGGGGGGGGGTCGGCCAGCCGCCCCGTCCGGGAGGGAGGTGGGGGGATCAGCCCCCCGCCCGGCCAGCCGCCCTATCCAGGAGGTGAGGGGCGCCTCTGCCCGGCCGCCCCTACTGGGAAGTGAGGAGCCCCTCTGCCTGGCCAGCCGCCCCGTCCGGGAGGGAGGTGGGGGGATCAGCCCCCCGCCTGGCCAGCCGCCCCGTCCGGGAGGTGAGGGGCGCCTCTGCCCGGCCGCCCCTACTGGGAAGTGAGGACCCCTCTGCCTGGCCAGCCGCCCTGTCCGGGAGGGAGGTGGGGGGGTCAGCCCCCCGCCCGGCCAGCCGCCCCATCCGGGAGGTGAGGAGCGCTTCTGCCCGGCCGCCCCTACTGGGAAGTGAGGAGCCCCTCTGCCCGGCCACGACCCCGTCTGGGAGGTGTGCCCAGCGGCTCATTGGGGATGGGCCATGATGACAATGGCGGTTTTGTGGAATAGAAAGGCGGGAAGGGTGGGGAAAAAATTGAGAAATCAGATGGTTGCCGGGTCTGTGTGGATAGGGAAGTAGACATGGGAGACTTTTCATTTTGTTCTGTACTAAGAAAAATTCTTCTGCCTTGGGATCCTGTTGATCTGTGACCTTATCCCCAACCCTGTGCTCTCTGAAACATGTGCTGTGTCCACTCAGGGTTAAATGGATTAAGGGCAGTGCAAGATGTGCTTTGTTAAACAGATGCTTGAAGGCAGCATGCTCGTTAAGAGTCATCACCACTCCCTAATCTCAAGTACCCAGGGACACAAACACTGCGGAAGGCCGCAGGGTCCTCTGCCTAGGAAAACCAGAGACCTTTGTTCACTTGTTTATCTGCTGACCTTCCCTCCACTATTGTCCTATGACCCTGCCAAATCCCCCTCTGCGAGAAACACCCAAGAATGATCAATAAAAAAAAAAAAATAAATAAATAAATAAATAAATACCTACGAGTAGAACGACTGCATCATAGAGTAGGTATATGCTTAACTGTTTTTCAAAGTGTTTGCATCATTTTACATTTCCACCAGCAATGTAACAGAGTCTCAGTTGATCCATATCCTCACCAACACTTGGTATGGTTGATCCTTTTAATGTTAGACATTCTAATATGTATGTAATATAATAGTATCAGTTGTGGTTTTCATTCCCATTTCCCTAACAACTAATGATGTTGGGCATTTTTTATGTACTTATTTATCGTTACATATCTTCTTTGATGACATGTCTGTTCAAATATTTTTAAAACAACTTTTAAAAAACAATTCTTTGTTTTTGTTTTTTGATAGATGTTCAAAAAGGCTATTTTCAACTCATTCCTTTGATTTTTTTTATTGTTGTGTTTTAAGAGATTTTTGTATATTCTAAATACAAGTCCTTTATCAGGTATGTGGATTGCAAATATTTTCTCCCAGTCTGTGGCTTATATTTTCATTCTCTTCACAGTGTTTTTTGAAGAGCAAACGTTCTTAATTTTAACGAAGACCAACTTACTGATTTTTATTTTTGGTGTTACACCTAAGAAATCTTTGCCTAATCCAAGGTCACAAAGGCTTTTGCCTATGTTTTTGTCTATATATTTTACAGCTTTAGGTTTTATATTTAGGTCTATGATCCATTTTGAGCTCGTATTTGTATATGGTACAAGTTATGAATTGTTATGTGGTCAGTTTTGGGTTTTGTTGATTATTTATTTATTATTTATTTTGCATACAAGTATCTA